>NC_000014.9:75975349-76126864 GCF_000001405.40 Homo sapiens
AGAGTGAGACTCTGTCAAAAAAATTAAAATTAAAATTAATTAAAAAAAAGAATTGCCTGGGAGATCAAAGAAAATGTACATACAATCTTCTTGACAATCAAATTCACTGAATAATGATGTTTTAAGTAATCTGTGGAATGAATCATCGTATACATAAATAAGCAAAATGTAATAGCACCACCTTGTTTTGTCGAGTTTTTATTACTTCATGTGACCTTCTAACAACCCCTGAGAAGAATGAAAACATGTAAAATTTATCACTTGACAAATGAGAAAACTGAGCCTCAAAAAGTTAAATGTCTTTCCCAAGGTCACATAACTAGAAGGTGGTGGAGGTGGGGTTTGAACCCAGGTCTTCTGAACATACCTCATTTATTGAAGCAGAGACTCTTCAAGCTGGGAGGGATCTGGGAGATCATCTGGTGAAGATGGTTTCATCAACAAAATATGGCAAGATTCCACTAAATGGGCCTAGAGTGTCAACCTATGCCTCAGACAATGACCCACTGCAAACGAGTTTGTGGTTCTTAAGCCATGCCTCACAGAACACTAGTATTATTGAGAGCTGGACTAGGGGGTCCCACCTTTACAAATTAAATCTTGAGCAACTTTTTCCATTGCACAGAAAAAATATATATTGGTGAATGCCATTTTCTCTATTTTGTTTAACGGGGCAAAACATAAGCAAAGAATATTCATGTACAGTATGCATGGAAAAACCAGGAAATAGCTGACCATGTTTAGTTAACTGCCTTTTAAAATGTGTTCAGACACCTGGGTGGCTAGGTGTGCCTTTGCTTGTATATATCATTTCTGCTGGTTCTAGTGAAGGGACTATATTTATCAGTGTGGCTGTACTTCTCTACCCTGGCTGCACATTAGAATCACCTGGAAAGCTTTAAAAACAAATGATTCCTGGACCCATTCCCCAGCAGTTCTGACTACACTGGAGTGAGTGGGGTCCACGGCATATTTTTTTCAAGATCTCCAGATGATTCTAACGTGCAGCCAGGGTTGAGAACCACAGATTATAATGTGTTGCAAAGGGCACCATGGCTTCTAGATGTTCTGGAAGTTTGAGAAACCACTGCTTTAATGGTGTGAGCTTTCTATTGATTAACCGTTAAATGAATTAGACATGTTGTTTCGCTGATGGAACACCTTTAAAAATTTTGAGTTAGAAGCCCATAAACATTTTAAGCCCATGTTAAAAATTGGAACACTTCACAGAAAGATCCAGATTTTCTGCTTTTCTGGGACACGGGAAGAACTAATCAAGCTGGACCCACAGTCCTCAATGCAAAACCCAGCAAGAACTGAGGCTGGCTGCTGCTTTGGCTGGGCACGTGGGCTCCAGGTCCCCTCCCTCTCCCTGTCTCACACACCCTACTTTCTTCTTGACCCCAAGACCAAGTGTCCTGGTGCAGTTTATCATGACGCCGTGGCTTTTCTTCCAGATCATTTGCATTTCCTGCCGGGTCTCTGTAGGCACTTGTGTTTGCCATCCCTCTAAGAAAAGTTTCGCCCTAGTTCACTGACTCTTAAGCTTCAATGTGCTTAAGAATCCATAAGGAGCTTGTCGAAAATACAGGTTCCCCAAGACTCCACCCCCTCAAGATTCTGATTCTATAAGGGTGGGTGGGACCAGGGAATCTACATTTACCTCCAGCTTCCTCTGGACCACACTTGGAGAAGTGCTGACCTCTACTGTGCAGAGGGCATTGGCCCTTGGAGCAAATGATTTTCAGAATAATTCTCAGAATAAACAAAATCTACACTTAGCAGCTAGAGAACAAAGACTAAAATATAGAGTTTTCTCTTTGCTGAGAAACTCTGGGTTTGCTGGTTGTCTTAGCGCTGCCCTTGGCTGAAAACAACAAGTCTCCGAACAGAGACAGATAATTACAAGCCAGAAGATAAAATGACACCTACATTGGTGATACCTTTGTAAGAGGGATGACAACGGAAGTAAAAAAGCTGTGTCCTTTCCCATCACATGGGGTCAGAGAAACTCTCTACTCCCTCCCGACAGTAAAATCCTGGAGAATTAGAAAAAGGATTACAGAGTCTTGCCCATACTCCCCAATAGAGGCTCTGCTGATTCATCCCAGATGGAATTATAAAATTCTTTCAGCTGAAAAGGAGTTTGGAAATCATCTCTAACTTTACAGCTGGGGAAACTGAGGCTCAGAGAGGTCACTTTTACGTAGCTGCGGTTGCTTAACCTGCTTGAGACTCTTCATTAAATAAAGAAAACTCCTTCATTAAATTAGGGAGAACATTTGTGGCAGTATGAATCTCCCGGGCAAAAAAAAAAAAAAAAAAATGCAGAGCTAAGGAAGAACAAATCCAGTTATCATTGTGCAATCTGCCACCTGGGTTACTAAGATAATAACTCTGACCTCTCCTGCTTGGTCCAACACATGATTCATTTATGTTATAAATCAAAGTTCTACTGAACCCTAAAGGTTAAAGGAGGTTAAAGGTAACACTTACAACGTGTATTTTACATATAAATGAGTGCTTAACTACATGCGTCCTGCACACAGAATGTCTAGGTTAGGGTCCCTGCTCTTTTTGGACAAATTACTTAAGCAATCCAGGTCTCAGTTTCCTTATCTGTAAAACAGGGAGAAAAGGTTATTTAGGAAAAGGCCTTCCTCTCTGCTCTCACCTTGGTGCCCTTTCTCCTGCACTACTAAAAAGTATTTCCTCTTTCATTTTCCTCTCCAGGGACCTCTATCTCCTTGCCCTGGCTCCTACTGTCACTTTCCTTTGAATGCATGTTCACTGGGTCAGGGAAGTGGCCAGAAGTGAGGAAATATGGAACAGAACGTGATCTCATGACCTCCCAGCAGAGGCTCTGGCATTGAGACCCTGCTGTGCCCCACCACAGACCTGGTGTCACCCCTGTCTGCCCTCATGAGTTAAAGACAGGCTTCCTTCCCCCACCCCGCCCCGCCGCCTTGCAAGCCCCTGATGATGGCTCTCTGCTCCTGCTCAGCACCTGCCCACTGCCTTCTTTATAGTTAGTGTGCCTTGTGTGTCTGCCTCTCTGGGGTGGGCTCAGCACCCGACCAGCTGCAGGGCGGGCCCAGGTCCGTCTGCTCAGCCTCCAAGTCACCTCCAACAGCTGCAGAGTCTGCCTGCTTCCGGTTTGTACCTGTGAGCCTCATAGCATCGCACGTTGGCTCCTCCCCAGCATCCTGAACAGCATCCTGCTCACTGTGCTGGGTTGCCCCAGGCCAGACCATTGCTCCATAACCCCACATCCACCCATCTGTTGCAGTTGTAAGGTCTTGGTACTGCAGCCTGGAAGCTGCCCAGCATCTATGGGGCCCTGCCCGGGCTTTTCCCAAGGACATCTGCTATTTGTGCTTTGAGTCTGCACAAAATCAGTGTCCACTTGCACCTGCATGGCCTTGCCTCCACGTGGCTCATTCATTCTCAGCTCAGGATTCCGGGATGGGGGGGTCCTGGTGACTCAGAATGCTTCCTCCCTTGGACTCCTCCTGCTGACCCAGACCATGAAGGTCTGAGTCCTGCCCTCTTGCCCTGGACTCTCCTCACACCTCTCCTGCCGGCCTCAGATTTCGACCTTCCTCTGATGCTTGTGGTCACTATCTCCCGCGTTGGTGGGTTCCCAGGGAGTTGGAGCCTTGGCCATCGAGCTGCTAGGTGCCTCTGGGAACTGTGGGTCTCTGAGCCAGCCCCACCCAGAGACCCTGGGCAGGGAGTAGTAGCTCTGCATCGGCCTCCAGCCTCCGCCCCACATGGCAGCCACATCCTGAAGAAAGGCGCTCCAGGCAGCCACAGGAAGCTGGAGCGGGAACCCCTCGCCAGTAACCACAGGCTCCTCTGCCTGGCGTGGAGCCGTGAACGGGGCCTTTGCACCTCCAGCCAGAGCTGGTCCACCCATCGGTACCCACTCCTGTTCCTTCTCTCCAGCCAGGTTCCTTTCACCCCTTGCTGTGTGCTCTGCTGACCACCCTCCCCTGCCTGCCAGCTCCATCCCATGCCCTCCACCCCACTCCAGGAGCTGCCCACCTCCCAGGTGGGCCTGGGCTGAGGTAGTCAGGGCGGCGAGGACACCTGCTGGTAGGAAAAGCAAACAGAGCTGCTCCCGGAGTCTACGGCCCACGAGTGGCTCACATTCCTCTTTCCTGGGCTGTCAGTTTCTCAACATCTGCCAAATTTCTCTCTCTTGTATTGAGGTTTTTAAAATCCCCTTCAGTAAACACATATGACTTCCACACGTGTACCAACACACACAGACATCTCGCCCAGAAGCCGCCCGGCTCCTCCATGCAGACAGAGCCTCCTGGGACGGCAGGCTCCCAGACATATCCCCCCCCCCCACCATGCACCCACTGCCACCCCTCCACCCGCTCTCCCGTGACACGCAGACACAAAGGGCGCCAGCCTCCTCTACGCATCCACAGCCAAAACCCGCTCTCCCCGTGCCCACCGGCCTGGAGGGCGCCCATTTTGAGCACATGAATCTGTCTACTGCACAAGACTGCATGTCACCCTAAAGTACACGGCCCTGGGAACATTCGTGCATACCCTCTTCCTTCCACACACACAGCTCACGTGGGTCTCGTGGGTCACGTGGGTGGGGTAGACCAAAGGGCCCAGGCAGCAAGAAGCTGTCTCCTGCCTGGGCTTCAAAAAGCTTGACAGACATTAATTTGGGGCAGGTATTCTTCTTCCCAAGAACTGGAAAAACTGAAACGGAGACGTGTCACAATGAGTTGTGAAAAGCAGGGAGAAGATGAGGTCTCCACACTGAGAACCGTAAGGGCTCCTGACAGAGCCGGCCTTCCCCTTTATGGCACCCAGATGCTTACAGTTACTGATACGATCGCATGTGCAAGAATACATATGTTTCCCTGGACAGCACAATGTAATTCCAAATTAAAATCAGTCAAGGATGTGATGTGAATTCAGCAAGCCACTCAGCTCCAGGGCTCCTGGCCTCCCAGAAGCGCCGGCTCTTAACAGAATGGCTCTATCTCCTTCCCCACCCACCTCCCCAGCCCCAACGGAGGAGCATCGCACATCCTGAGCCTTGGTGCTGGTGAATCCTGGGGCACCCTGCTGTGTGGCCAGCACTAGGCCCCCCTCTGCAGAGCTCCCAGCTCCAGTTCAGACCCTCCAGAGCAGACACCCCAGCGAGAATTTGGACTTACTGTGCTCCGCCAGCCCCTGGATCATGTCGAATTTATGGATTTCTTTGGCATAGTATTCCGACTCGGTGTTTTCCTGGGTGCAGCCTTCCTCCCTCTCCCCATGCATCTCCTCCAGCAGCTCCCGGGTGCTGTTGTAAAGGGCCAGGACCTGATAGGGGACGTGGGTCATCACCGTTGGCTCAGGGGGGCTGGTGAGCCTGAGCTTGCTCAAGATCTGTCCCCTAATGGCTTCCACCCTCTTCTTCTTGATGTGGCCGAAGTCCAAGGTGGTGCAAGTGGACAGAGAGAGGCTGACCGTGGCAAAGTTCAGCAGGGCCAGGACCACCAGAGCCCTTTGCAAGTGCATCTTCATGTGTGAGCTGGGAAGAGAGGCCAGGGGGACGGCAAGGCCTGGAGAGGAAGAGACCCCAGCAGACGTGCAGAAGGAGGGAGGAAAACCAGGCGGCCTCCCCAGATCCCAAAGACTGAGGCTTGGCAAGAAGGTGCATGAACTCACTGCACTGCGAGAGCTTCAGGACTTCCAGGAAGCGCTGGCAACCCTGAGGACGAAGAAGCGGACTGTGTGCCTTGTAGCGCTGGGATTCTTGTCCATGTGTCTAAACAGGTTTTGCTGGGCTCTGACTCCCAGCAGGCCAGGTGGAGGGCAAGCAGAGGGCTGGGAGGGGTGGCAAGGCAGCTGGGAGTGGGAAGGGAGCTGGAGTTTTTCCTTAGGTAAAAATAAATAGAGTGGATATCTGATATTGCCAAACGCCGCTTGGCGATGGGGAGAAAGTGGGTATTTTAAAGAAGAAGCAGAAGGACCATGGCTGGGTCCCAAAATCAAAATCCTTGCCTTGCCTTGAAAGAAAATAAGAAAAGAGAATGGAAAAGAAAAGGGAAAAAAAAGTAAAAAAAAAAAGATCACCAGTGAGTAGGTGGGGAGAAGCAGGGCCGGGCAGTTGCTGGCCCAGCTAAAGGTGGGGGCAGTACAGGACACACTTGTCTCTCAGGCACTCCATTCATGCTTTCTCTTTTGTTTACACTTCCTCGGGGGCTTTCTAAATGACTTTGTTCACGCTGCCTCTCGTCTTCATTGGCTGGGGTGTGGGGTTATATGCATTGGAAGGCAGGGAGGCAGGCCTCTGAGCGCAGCAGCCCCAATCATCCACTCAGACGCCCAGGGTCACCAGCACCTCGGCTTGTCTTCTGCCTCGGCCATTGCTTCTGTCCCCTGCTTCTCTTTAAAAAATAAAAAGGAGAAAAAAATAAAATAAAATAGAAGCCAGTTCACGGCACGCCTGCTCCGGAAAGCTGTTATTCCTTCTCTCGCACGCCTCTTCCCCTGTCTCTGCCTCTCTCGCTCATTCCCTTGGACTTGACTCTCTGCTTCCCTCCCTTTCTCTCTCTCCCTCTCCCTCTCCCTCTCGCTCCTCTCCCTCTCTCTCTCACACACACACACATGCACACACACTGCTTTCTCTATTTCTCTCTGCTGAAATTTTATACCTCCCTCCCATGACGTCTCTGGCCTGGGGTGGGGGAGGGAGGGACCAGCGCACGCAGCCTCTTTTGCTGCACGATGTTAATGTTTTAAACAGGCACAGGAAAAGCCGAGCCCTTTTGAAAAATACTTTGCGAGTCCTCTCGTTCGACGTGGTAGCTGAACTTTTTTTCCCCTCTTGGAATCACTCCTGCCACACGTTGGCTGTTTTTCTGGAAAGTTACTCCGATGAGCCCCCTCCCTCCCTTTCCCCCAGCCCCGGCGCCCTCTCGCCAGCTGTCAGTCCGCGCCGTCCGCGGCCCGCGTCTACTCTCCCTCCTGGTCCCCCGGTCCCGGGGCCGCCCGCGGGCCAGGCCCAACCCGGGGCAGGGTCCGCAGAGGGCGCGGGACCCGGTAGGGGCGGCCATGCCAGCCTCGCAGAGGGGACTCCCAGCCTGCGAGCCGGGTCGGAGGGTCGGCGTCCGCTCCGCGGCGATCCTGGCCCGATTCTTCATTGACAAGATCGGAGTCGGGAGGCGGGCAGAAGCCTGGAGACGCTCCAGGGGCAGTGAAAAATGGTGGCGTTTTCCGGAAGATCGAGGGTGCCCTCTGGCGAGGCGAGGCCGCCAGTGAAGGAGCTCGGCTGGTCGGGAGCCGGGGAGGCTCGGGGGCTGGGGGCTGCGGGGTGGGGGCTGAGGGGCGGGAGAAGGGGCTGCGGTAGAGAGCGAGAAAAACAAGACCCAGGCCCCGAGGAATCGCCTCCCTCCCGGCCCGACGTGCGCACGAGCGCACCTCTCCCTCCCCGACCGCCGCTCCGGAGCCGCTCTCGCAGAAATGTCATCCAGATGTTCAGCCTCCCTCCCCGCCGAGGTCTCCGCAGGGAGCTGCGCCAGCGAGCGCGAAGTCAGCAGTTGGCCCGAGCCCATTTCCCAGATGGGTGAGGGGAAGTCGGCTCTGTGCTTTCGCTCCTCTTCTCGGCCCGAACCTCTAGGCCTTTTCCCACGAGCAGCCAAGGGAGGGTAGGGCACGTGGCTCCCCGCACCCCGCAACACAGGGCTTGCCTCTGAACTGAACTTTCCTGAGAGTGAGTGCCGCTCCCACCCCATCTCACTCCAGCCTTCCTGGACCCTTTCTGAGAGGTCTGGCTTCCAGGCCACTAACTGAAGGGGCTGTTCTCTGTATCCCAGCACAGCGGTGGGTCACTTTACGGATGAGGAAACTGAGGCATAGAGTTTTTTGTTTTTTTTTTTACAGACCACACTGCTTGTGAGTGATGGAGGCGATATTTTACACAGGCTATCTAGCTTGGGTAGGCATTACTTTCATTTGCAAAACCAATGGGAAACCTAGGGGTAGAAACTTTAAAAGTAACTTGCCCAAGGTCACATAGTTATTAGGTGTCAGCTGTTGGGATTTGGACCCAGGACGTTGCCAGATTCTGGACTTAATTACTATGCTATACTGCCTCTGAAATTTCAGAAAAAGTTTAATGTTTACTATATACCAGGCACTATTCTAGGCTCTGTGAAGAATATCAGTGAACGAAACAAAACTCCTGCCCTCAGGGAAATTTTATTTTAGAGGCAGGGGTGGGGCAGTGGAGGAGGCGATAAACTAAATAAATATGTAAATGATGTAGTACGGTAAAAAGTGCTGAGCCAGGTGCAGTGGCTCACGCCTGTAATCCCAGCATTTGGGGAGGCCCATGCAGGAGGATTACTTGAGCTCAGGAATTCGAGACCAGCCCCAGCAACACGGCGAAACCCAGTCTCTACAAAAAAATGGAAAAATTAGCCCGGCATGTTGGCGCAGGCATCTACTTGGGAGGCTGAGGCAGGATAATCACTTGAGCCAGGGAGGCAGAGTTTACAGGGGGCCAAGATTGCACCACTGCACTCCAGCCTGGACGACAGAGCAAGACCGTGTCTCAAACAGACAAGCAAACAAACAAATGTGGTGTGGCAGAAAATCAAGCAGGGAAGGAGGATGGGGTGTGCCTAGGTTGGGGGATGTTGCAGTTTCAAATAGGGTGATAAGGGAAGGCCTTTGAGCAGACAGTTGCAAGATAGGAAGGAAAATTATTAAAGTTATACTTTTTTGGACTCCACCTCTACCAAATCAGTCTCCAGAGCTGAGGCCCTGGCATCTCTGTTTCTTTACAAACCTCACACGTGATTCAGGTGCTAAGCAAGTTCTGGAAGCTACTACTGCAGGGTACCTCTCTGCCCAGAGTGAGGACCATTTGCCTTCTGTTTTCAGCAAGTTGGGGAAGAAGTGGGGGTGAAGGTCTGGAAACTGACTATAAGGTGATGGTCGTATGCTGTGAGCTTACAAGAAATGGAAAAATCCAAAGATTAATCCCTTCTTCCTCATCTGGTGCCGAAGAAGAAGGGAACAAGGGATTCATTGGAGCCTATATTTCATCTGTCTTGGATTTTTGGCAATGAGTGTTTCTTCAGATTAAAATCTAACAAAGTATTCTCACTGAGAAGCAAGTTAACAAAGGATCTTAGAGATAATCTCTAAAGTAATTACAAGGGAGGAAACTGATAGCGGAAAGGGCTCTGCTCTGACTACACAGGTAGTTTTCAGGAGAGCTAAGATGAGAACACAGCTCTTCTGATATCCAGGCCAGTGCTCTTGCTGTCACAGGCATGCTAACACACAGTCCTATCCAGTAACATGTGTGACTGAACTGAGTGATTTACTGGATATTTAAGAAATGCTTGCAATGAGGTTTCAGGGGTGCTACTCCCACTTCCGAATCCTTGCTTTTAACCTGTGTCCATCCAGGCCTTCCCCTCAACATAATACTGGAATGTTGTTTGCTTTCAGGGCTATCAGCCCATCTCCTATGGATCTCAGCCAACCAGTGTCAGGGACCTGGCCAGTGATATTGACTTGGAGATCTCATATGAAGAGTCAACAAAGACGCAACTTAAATGCCCCATTAGGCTGGGAATTTGTGGTACATCTCCCTCTGCCAGCCTAGGAGAATGGCTGGCACCCAGTAGTATGTGCTGGAGATAAATACTCCAGTAATGTCTGGTGTCAGAAGGGCATTTGGCTCTGCTGCTTGGCACTTAGGTGATTTTCCTCAAGCCCCTTCTTTGTACCTCAGTGTGCTTTATTGTTGTGTTAGAGATACTACTGCTACTCACTTTGCGGGATTATTGGGATTTAATGAGATATTGAATATTTGTACTTTTGAAAGTTATTACTACTCAGCTATTTGATGTGTTGATTCAGCCTCTCTGTAAACTTCTTGAAGGCAGAGATTATGTATATTGCAGTTTCCATAATTCATGGTAAACCATTTATTACACCTGATTCCCTGTTTTCTCATCTGTCAAATGGAAACAATACCACTTATCTTGCTTCCCACACAAGGTTGTTAATGCCCCTCACGTTAAGCCAATAACTGTGACGGCCTTCTGTACCTTGCAAAGAGCTGTACAAGTGGGAGGCATCAGTATAGCAGTAGTAGTGCTTTGCACTTAATATATTGATATATTTAAACAGAGCTACAAATACAGACAGTTCCTAACGACCAAATTATTTTACCGTCTCGCAGGAGCAGCGTTGGCGAGTTTTAATAACCGGAGGTTGCTTCCAGATGTCAAGCAAGGCAGATTTAAGAAAGATTCGGTAGTTTGGAGGATGGCACACAGAATCCAGGAACCATGCTGCGTACCCTTTAAAAATTGGGGTGGAGGGGCGGGGCTGTTAGCAGGGACGCGTCTGGGCCAGTCGGTTTCCAGGAAGTGACGTCAGGCGGCCGCGGAGATGGAGGATTTGCTCGACTTGGACGAGGAGCTTCGCTACAGCTTGGCTACCTCCGTGAGGACCAATTCGGGGGCCTTGGGGGCCAGGATTTGGCGGGTGGGGAGGAGCGACCCCGCCGGCCCCGACTTCTCTGAGGCGACTCAGGGCGGCAGGCCTCGCGCCGCGCCGGGTGAGGCCCAGAAGGAGGCAGCCTCACCGCCCCGCCCCCAGGCCACTGTGGGCTCCGCCGCTGCTGGCCTGGGGTTTGCTTTCTTTAAAATCCTCAGAAAGTAGAAAACACCCTGTCCCCGCCGGCGTCTAGGACCGTGGGAAATTTCCGAGCCTTTCTCCGTTTTCTAGAGCCCCGAGTGCGAACTTCCCCAGAACAGATCGATCACAGGGTGATAGGGGAGCCCCGGCCGGGGTCGCACTCGCTCCCATCCTAGAGTTTTTCCTTTGGGACACCTCGTCGCAGAAGTTCCTGCAAAAGCCGCACTGTTTTATGCATGGAAGGGAGGCAGGCAGGGACGGCCTTTCTTCCCGGTAATCCCCGTGGGGAGGTGGGAGTTAACCTCAGTTACCTCAGTAGTTAAGGAAACCAAGACCGATTTGTAACGTGAGGGAGTGATTAGGTGCTCAGGCACTGAGGCCAGATGGAGCATAGAGCTGTTGCCTGGGTTCAAAAAAAAAAAAAAAACCTAAAAAACGATTTAACCTTTCCGAGCCTTGGTTTCCTTATGCCTAGAATGGAGGTGTTACAGTGAAAAGGAAATGCAACAATACATGGGAAGCGTGTAACTCAGTGCTTGGCATATGTTATCACGGAAGAGGTCAGAAGAGGTTAGCTACTGCTGCCTATGAGGCTGTGGTTTACCCAGCGTTATAGTTAGTAAATAATGGAGCTAGATTCAAGACCCAAGTTCAGTGTCTACCTTCCTCCTTTGTAACCCCCATCAGGCCTTTTTATCTTTAAAACTGGTTAGGATCGCACTTACTAAAAGATTGGGCCCCAGAGCAAGTCTTTAGTGTCTGCTGTGAAATCTCTAAGTGTTTTGAAGGTCACCAGGCCTGCTGATACGTGAATGTTTTTTAGTACCTGGGGATGTGAATGTAGTTATTCATTCATTCAACAAATATTTATTGAGCCCCTACTGTGTATCAGGCAGTGTCCTAGGTGCTGGAGATACAGCAATGAATAAAGCAAAGTTCCTGCCCTCATGTGATTATGTTGTAGTGGGAGAAGATGGGCAATAAATAGACTACATTTAACATACACAAAAATCAGGCAGTAAAGAAGTTTTTCTACCCTATGGATCTATACAGGGTCTTCAAAAAGTTTAAAACCTTGAAATACTTAAAAATTATTAGAGAAAACACCTGTGAACAGCATTTAGCGACAAGATCATTGAATTTTTGTTTTAGCACAACCGCCATATGTAGGATGCTGTATTCAGATACTCAGTGCTGTGACAAATGGAAAAGGGCAACCATGGTGAAGGGATGGAATTGTCTGACTTGAGAAGAAAATAAGCTGCTTATTATCAGAAAGATTGTTTCCACCATCCCTGAAACCTAAATGACACTACAATTTGAAGTGTCGACATTGCATAAGAGTTTTTACGAGCTCTTCTGTAACCCCTCTCAGTTTAGTGGGGCAGTCAGTCCTTAGAACATCTTAAAACAAGTTTCAGCAGGGTAGAGTGGAAAGCACCCAGGAAACCCAGGATCTGAAATCAGAAGGCTTTGCTCCTAGGTTTATGTCAGCCACTTCATCACCTTCCTAGGCCTCAGTTTCCTCCTTTGTAAAATGACAGCAGTCTCAGTTTCTGTCCATTATTGTGAGAATCAAAGGAAGCCACATTAAATGAGATCTAAAAGTGCTTATATTAATGCTGTTTTTTTTAAACAAAGTAAGCAAAAGTATAAATATTTCAGCACCCAAGAGTCTGACTAAATAAAGTTTTGTTTATGTGCTGGGAAGCCTTAGAGGCAGAGTCTCCACCGGAGGGCCTTGGGAAACACCTGCAAATGATTCATTTGATGGCCAAGAATTTTGAAGTGCTCTGATTTCCAAAGATAATGTCTCAAAATTCTTGTACTAGATTTCCCTTAATGTCTGTAAAGGCAAACCCAGTTACTGTACATATCAGAGCAAATGCTGTTTTCCATTTACCATGGAATTTAGGAATTCTTTCCAAAAGCCTGTTTGATAATGATTTTCATGCCAAGCTGCAGATTTGAAATTAAGCCTTCCTAAAATCCTGCGTAGGAACATGGGAGCATTTACCACCTTCTTCTCTGACCTGTGGCATGAGGTATCTGCCCATTCTAGAGGAATTTGTAACTGCATTTCTTTGGGTAGAAAATAGAATTTTCTTTTGCCATCTCTATAGCTGTTGAAAGAAAACCTTGTCCAGCCTGGGCAGCACAGGGGGACCCCATATCTACAAAAAAATAAAATAAAGTATCCAGATATGGTGGTGTGTACCTGTGGTCCCAGCTACTCAGGAGGGCAAGGTAGGAGGATCACTTGAGCCTAGGGGGTGGAGGCTGCGGTGAGCACTCCAGCCTGGGCAACAGAGTGAGAACCTGTCTTAATTTCCTATTTTCCTATCAAATAGAACTGACCTCAGGTGCTTTGTTTTAAGGGGTTTTAGAGGGTTTTCTAAAAACATGTCCAAGTAACTCAAATCCCGTTCTCCACCACATCATCATAAATCCAGTCCTTGCTTACCTTCCCAGGCTTGTCATCTTTTTTTTTGTTTTGTTTTGAGATGGAGTCTTGCTCTGTCACCCAGGCTGGAGTGCAGTGGCACAATTTCGGCTCACTGCAACCTCCGCCTCCCAGGTTCAAGCGATTCTCCCGCCTCAGCCTCCCAAATAGCTGGGACTACAGGCGCCCGCCACAACGCCAGGCTAATCTTTTGTGTTTTTAGTAGAGACGGGGTTTCACCGTGTTAGCCAGGATGGTCTGGATCTCCTGACCTTGTGATCTGCCTGCCTCGTCCTCCCAAAGTGCTGGGATTGCAGCTGTGAGCCACTGCGCCCGGCTGGATTGTCATCTCAGTAGTGGCCCAAATGACATTTGGGTCAGCAGTGCCTTCTGTTTCTCCTTACAGAGGGCCAAGATGGGTCGCCGAGCTCAACAGGAGTCAGCGCAGGCCGAGAATCACCTCAATGGCAAGAATTCCTCTTTGACTCTGACTGGAGAGGTGGGTGCTAAAAAAAAAGAAAATCTGAAGAAATACTGTTTAAGAGTTAGTGATTCCTTAATGACCAAGGATTTGGTATTCCATATTTCTTCTCTTGAATGCCAACCCTTTCTCCTGTCTTGATTTGGGAATTCCCTTCCTTGGCATTTGTCCTTGTAGCAGGAAATGGAAGAACTTTTTTTCCTTGATGCCAGACTAGTTTCTGTGCATTTCCTTATATTCTTAATGTAGAACTTTTTATGTTAGCTGAAGCAAGGGACTGGGAAGTTTCAAAATCCAGTAGGATTCCAGGTTTTTATTTCCGCTGAATAAATGCCAGTGAGGCAGACTGGTGACGTAAGGTTGGATTACACAATTGGACATTGCTCTCGGTGGTGACCTGCGCTTTCTACAGTCTTCCGGCAGGAAGCAGATCATTTACTGGCCTTACTTTCCTGGAAACTTTTCCGAGTAGCCTGGAATTATGGGAAATGATCCAGCTTCTTTGTGGAGGGTGGGTAATTCTGATGAGCAATACTTTTTACTGCCAGGGCACTACTTTTGGCAGCTTACTCAGAGCCCCTTTTTACCTTCCTCTGTCCATTTGAAAAAACTTTGCAAAAGTCAGCCTCAGGGTCATCCTCTGCCAGAAGTTAGCTCTTCTCTAACCTCTCCAGGCTGACTTAGCAGTCCTTCCTTTCACTTCCCATAGTACCTATTGTGAACATATGCCATTATATGTGAATTGTCTTTTTACATGTCTGTCTCCCCCACCGGACAGTGAGTTCCCAGACAGCAGGAAACCTGGCTTCTAGCTTGCTGGCCCATAGTAGGTTTGCAACAGATGAAGAGACCCATGCTGAGAAGCCTAATGGGTCAGGCAGGTGCATGAGCAAATGAACCGGGTACCTGACATGGACACACTTCACTTACATATCACATAGGTAGGAATATTCTTCATTTTCGTAGGAAATGCATTCTCCACCACTTTCTTAAGCTCTCCACATGGCCTTGTCCATTTATCTTTCATTTTCTCCTTTTAGAAGTGTGGGTATGGAGAATCATTACTTTAAGATAACATCTGTGCTGGCCTAGAAAAACTAGCAGCTGACCCCTTGGCATCACTGCCTGGAAGAAACTAGGGGAGTGAGTTAGGGCAGGGGGACTGGGAACTGGAGGCCACATGCCCCCTCTAAAGGGACAACCACTACTTAGCCAAAGCTGGTTGGTGCTGTCGAGAATACAGGCCCAGTATTGCCAGATATGATTCTTCAAGAGATGCTGGCAGTCTAAAATTTTATGTGAAAGCAACACATTTTTAGAGGTTAGCACCTGATTAAGAAAACCTAATCACCATATGGACTGGATATTAAATCATCATATGGGCTGGATTTGGTCCAAGGATTGTCAGTTTGTAACTGCGGCCATGGCACCTCCATTGTGATACTTATTACATTGTATTCTAATTGTTTACATATCTGGTTCTCTCATAAGATATGAGCATCTGGAAGGCAGAGGTTGTGTCTTATCATCGTACCCTATTATCTGTCACAGTGCCTGGCAGAATAGGCCTGCAATTGTTATTGCGCAGGATGAGGTGGGGTCAAGTACATAGTGTGTGATGTACTTACACATTAGAAGCTATGTAGAAGTGTTATGGGGCCTGGGGCAGGGAGGTTGGGAGGCGAGGATAGTGGAGCATTGGAGGCACAGTTAGGAGAGGTGATATAAAGTAGGAATTTGGTGAAAGAAGATATACCAGACCCAACCCTGGATCTCAGGGAGCTTGAACTGCAGTGGTGTATGTATTTAAAGAGAAAACGCGGAAGCAAATGACTGAGCTGATGGAAGCCAATTCTTGGCCTCTGGCACTTTACACTGTTCCACATGGGTCCAGGAGGATTAATTCCAACACCAGATCATTCATTCATTTACTCAACAACTATTTATTGAAGCACACAGTAAGTGCCAGGCACCATTTTGCAGGGTTGGCATATTTCAGTGAACAAAAGAGACAAGATCTCTTGCCATAATGGAAGTTACATTCTCGTGATCACTGGCACCCAGGAAGAATAATTAAAAGTCTACTTAAGGCTAGGCACAGTGGCTGATGCTTGTAACCCCTGTAACCCCAGCACTTTGGGAAGCCAAGGCAGGAGGATTGTTTGAACGTAGGAGTTCACGACCAGCCTGGGCAACCTTGTCTTTGCAAAATATTTAAAAATTAGCTGGGTTTGGGTGGCATGTGCCTATAGTCCCAGCTACTTGGGAGGCTGAGGCAGGAAAATTGCTTGAACCCGGGAGGCGGAGGTTGCAGTGAGCTGAGATCTTGCCATTGCACTCCAGCCTGGGCAACAAGAGTGATATATACATAAATATATAATTAACAATAAGAGTATATATTATATATATATATATAAATATTAACAAGAGTGTGTGTGTGTGTGTGTGTGTGTGTGTGTGTGTGTGTATGTATGTATATATATTTTAAAGTCTACTTAATTGTGAAGGAGGTTATAGCCACCTATGGTAGTTAGGTGAATGAGCCTGTGATGACCTCATTAGGCCTTGAAGCCTTATATGACCCCCATACCAAATCAGCTCCTAGGCTGGGGTCAGTGGGCCCTGCTTGCCTACCATCCACTTCCCTTGGCTCCCATGTGAGAATCATTGCTGTGAGAATATAACTCCATAGTCACAGAGTGTGATGAATCCTTTCAGGGTTTCAGCCATTCAGTAATACCTACTTATTTCGAGGTTTACCTTTTTTTAACTCTGTGCATTACCATTTTTGTGGGAGAACATGATGAAAAGTCATTCTGCTCTTCACCCAACTGTTGCCTCTGAAAGCAAGATGCCAGTTAGGATTCCAGGATCCCTTTCTCCCTGGGCTAATTGAGGTTTAAACAGTGTGGGCAGCCTCCCACGGGGCCAGATGCTCACTGTGCTGTGTGGGACTTTTTGGCTGTTTCTTTCTAAAATTAGATCCCAAGACTTGTGTGTGTGCCCATTTACATTCCGATTCTATTACTTGATATATTTATTTTTGTCCTCTTGCTGACTGTATTCTAGGATGAAGATATCCATGCAAACGTAAATATGGTACCTGGGAGCTGTCAGACATGCTGGAGTTACTTTAGACTTAAGTGGAAATTAGTTCAAACACATGGTTATTTTAAAGCGAGGTAGTGGAGTTGGGAGCTCTGGTGAAGGAAGCAGAAAGAACACAGGGCTTCGCACCAGAGGACTGGGTGCTAATTGCCTGGATTGTGATTAAGTCCACCAATCTCTCTAATTCTCCATTTCATTATCTGTCAAATAGTGATAGTAATACCACCAGGTTGATATGGGGGCAAGTGAGATACGCATTGAGACGCTTTTTAATAAACTGAAAAGCACTGTGCAAGCATTCATTCAATAAATTAGTGAATAAAGGCATATTGGGACAGCACTTTGCTGCTTTTATTAAAGGGCACCGAAGAAAGAGCATGCCAGCCAGAGTCTCTTAGAACTGATTTGGAAATCTGTTCACAGGCTACTACTCATTTATCCATAGGTTGGCTAGTAGGTATCCAGAGCAGAGGGTTTTTTTGTTTGTTTTTGTTTTGAGGCAGGGTCTTGCTCTGTCTCCCAGGCTGGAATGCAGTGGCATGATAATGGCTCACTGCAGCCTTGAACTCCCGGGCTCAAGCGATCCTCCAGTCACAGTCTCCTGGGTAGCTGGGACCACAGGCATGCACCACCACACCTGACTGATTTTTTTTTGTAGAGACGAAGACTTGTTATGTTGCCCAGGCTGGTCTCAAACTCCTGGCCTCAATCGATCCTCCTGCCTTGGCTTCCCAAAGTGCTGGGATTACAGGTGTGAGCCACCACACCCAACCTGGAGAAAAGTTTTTTTGCTTTCTAGTTGCAGCAGGCGTTTCTTAAGAGTCTGTAAAAGCACAGGCCTAGGAGTCATACCAGTCTGGGCTGAAATCCTGGCCCTGTCATACATTAGCTTCTGTGATACTGAGTTAATCTTGCTAAGCCTCATTTTCCTATTATTCCTGTTTTGGTGAAACAGGGATAATAATATTCCATACTTCATAGGATAGCTGGAAAGACAAAGTGATATAACCCTTAACTTAGTCTGACACACACATGCTCAGTATGTTGCCAACCATTATTATTTCTCTAGAACTTGGGCATTCTTTTTATTCCACCTTAACCTCTACTGAGGTTGAAAACTGGTGGCCTTCAGGCTGAATTTGGCCTATAGTCATGTTTTATGTGATCCATACAGGGTTAAGAATTTTTAAATTTGGTTCGCATTTATAAATCAGGAAATGTAATATGGAAATTCAGATTTGGGGCTTCTCTTTAAAATCAGAAGCCCTGGCACAGTGAGAATGCTGGGTTGACATTCCCACATGGCGGCAATTGGCTGGTGCTGCAGCTGCTGATAGCTTACATGCATCCATCCCTCTCCAGTTAACTGCTTAGTACTTTGATACACCTGGTCAGATTTACTCACATTTGATCTGCCTGGTTCCCATTTCCGTCTGAATTGAAAACTCCTGTCTTTTAGGATAGATTAATTTTTCAAGTGGCCTCCTCTATCTATCAGTATTGAATCTGGTTGCCTACAACAGAAACAACTTCAGTACTTGAATCAAACAGGAGCAATTTTTCTTTCACATAGCAAAGAGTCCAGTGGAGGGCAGAGCAGAGTGGGTGCAGTCACTGGAGCATGTCCTGCATTACTCTAGCTCCTTCCAGCTTCCTGCTCTGCTATCTGGAGCCTGTGACTTTTGTTCTCATGGTTGCAAGATGGCTGGTCATTCTCCTGGGATCAGATATGCATTCTAGGTGGGAAGAGAGGGAATTGTTGAAGAGTTCAAGGTGCATGCCAGTAAGAAGGGTGTACCCCTTCTTATCAGGAAAACAGTAGCCAGAGTCCTCACTAAGGAGAGCTCTAGTTTCATTTCATTGGTCAGAACTGGATCTTACAGCCACACTCTCAGTTTCAGGGGAGTTTTTAATGGGCACATTACCACACCATAGCATCGGGGTTTCTTGGTAAGGGAGGTGAGTAGAATGGCTCTTGAGTAGGCAGTTCAAAAATGACATGTCAATTTAAAACAAATAGAAATTATAGAAAGCCCTTTTTTTTTTTTGTAGCCCTGGGTATGAAGAGAAAATTATTTTAGCTTAAAAAAAATGTACATTCTTCTCCAGTTTTTGTTTTGGAGTTGAGTGAAAAAAAATTGTATGCCCTAAGTTCCAGGATATCTGATTCAGTGGCCTCTTCTTGATCTTTTCCTTCTGATTGTCTCCATACCCACTTAGGACGTGGTGCCAGTAGGATGCCTGTGGTTTGGTCCAGGTAATTAAACTCTTCTTCCTGCTCTGAGAGAAGAGGAAAAGTCTCTTTATTTGCTTGGTCATTCGATACATTTCAAATCACTTAACTGTCTAATTTTAAAATTTACCAGAAAGATGAACTCTTTGTGTGATTTTACTAGTTTGGAGTAGATTGGAGTTGTGTCTACTTTTTTAGGGTTGTTGTGAAGATCAAATGAGGTAATGCATGTAAAGTACTTAGCACGGTATCCGGCACACAGAAACCCAAGGAGAAATGATAAGTACTAAGAAAGCTTATGACTACATTTTTTGGGTGGGGTGGGGTGCACCTGTTGCAAATCAGGCTTGGATCACTAGAAGCATGGTTCAGCTAGCAGTTCAGGTTGGAATTATAGGTATTGAGGATTTTGCTGGAAGATAGTTCTATGATGAGTGTCTACATGTCTGTGATGTATAGCTTTCTCTAGGGAGGATGGGTCTGAGAGTTAAACCAGATTTCTCTGCTTGAGCCTTGACCTTCTATTGATTCAAATGATTGTGCCCTCACAGAACTCTTTTAAGGACAGACCCAGATGCTTTCTACCGAAAAGTTACCTTCTACTGAGTTTGGGCAAAAGTAATCTTTGGCAAAACCTCTCCAGGGCTAGCTCATCTTTTGGATGAGCATTTCTTGCTGGGATCTAGACCTGTTTTTGGCTTAGCTTTTATTTTGCAGATTGTCCTTTTAATAATCATCATCATAGCTTACATTGCAACAGTTGCTAGCTATCTGTTCATTACATGCAGTGTCCTAGTTGAGCCTTATGGTAGCTCTTGAAGTAGGTACTCTTATCATCATGTTGTACATGTGAGGACATGGAGACTTTAAGAGTCTGGGTAACTTGTCAGAAGCATTCAGCTAATCTGTGACTCTAGTTGAGTCTTTCTGACTCAAGTGCCTAACCTCTCCTACCTGCTAGATGGGAAGAAGCACAGACCTCCCAGTAGAGAAGAGGATTTTGGAAAGGGCGGAGAGACTTAGGGTCATTCCCTTGGGGTCCTTTTGGAATGGGAGTAAGTTCTCACTTGATCACCCTTATTCGTTCAGTGGTCTAGAGAAGTGTTGGAGTCACAGCTGTTCCCTTTCTCTCCCCCTATTCCCTTGGTGTTCCTCCGAGGACGCAGAACTGAAAGTTAGCCAGATTCCCTCGCAGGAATCTGAGAAATGCTGCTGGGCTCATGTTCCCAAATTAGGCCAATTTCCTCATCCCCCAGCAGCCTCACTCGGCCGGAGCTCCCTTGGCACTTTGCATTACGTCTCTCGCCCTCCGCCTGTCCCCTTACTGGTCTGCCAGCCAGGCAGTTATTTTCAGCCCAATAGGGTTATCTGCTGACCCTTTTTGGTGACATTTTTCTTCTTTCTCACAAAAATAACTCTCCTGATTGGTCACATTTTCCAGCGTTTTTCATAGCCGCTCTCCAATCGGCTGGGTTGAATGATGCTTCTGATAACGTTGCCAAAGAGGGATGCAGGGAATTTGATATGGAGTTGTTCATAAGGAATGTGTTTTCCACACTTCATATTTATGTCATGCTTGGCATGCTTTGGTTTTGAACTCTCCCTTGGAGTGTGCAGATGTGCATCGCTGACCCATCCCTGGGGCCGGCCGCTGTGTGGGAGGGAATGTCATCTCAGGGTAGAGCCTGCAATTGGAAATCAACATCTTGAGATTCTCCGCCAGCACTGGCTCTGGCTTTGTCAAATGCTCTTGAAGTGCCCCAGGAAAACATGCTTTCTTGCTGGCTTCTGTGAGACCCAGAGTGCAAGTTGGTGCTCAAAGAGCACTTTAAGATTCTCCTCCTCGCCTATGGGGAGGGTTAAGTGAGAAATATGTGTCAAGAGCTTAGCCCAGTGCACTGTGAGTCCTCTCTTGTGATTTTCTATGTAATCTGAGAAGTAGAAAAGATGATCGTTTTGTCTTTAATCCCAGCTCTGCCAGTTGCTAGGTGTGTATCCCGGGTGTGTTACTTAACTACTGTAAGCCAGTTTCCTCATCTGTTGAATGGAGATGATAGTAGTATCTATCTCATTGGGTTGTTGGAGGGTTAAATAAAATATATAAAGCTCTTAGAGCAGTGCCCAACACCTGCTAACTATTATTGTCCTTATCTGTATCAAACGAGAATTAGAATGTATTATCAATTTATCCTAAATATCAGTTCTGTCCAAGATACAGAGATATTCATATTTCATAGACTAACAACTGGCCCTTATGGCAAAGAAACATTTGGGTGAGGAATCCTTTCAGTAAGAATTCTTTGTGCCACTTGAGACCCATTTTATTTGTCTCTTGTAGTAGCATTTCTGCCTATGCCATTGGCCAGTTGTTTGCCAACACCTTTCTGTCAACAAAATGCAACTCTCTGTCTGAAGGTCGACAGTCTTTCCAAAGAATAATCCTTAATTGCTGACTTATATCATTTTGTTGTTCTGGGGGCAGATGAGTAGAAAATGAAGAGGGCAGGAGTGACCTTGGTGACCTCAGTTACCTTGGAAAAAAGGAAATATTCATTCATTTATGAAACTTGATTGGGAGCTTTCTGTGTGCCAGGTATTGTGCTTTGAACTTGGAATACAATAATTAACCAGACATGCTCCCTGCCTTCTAGAACTTTGATTTAGGGGCTTGCAGAGAAGTGTCAGGTAGAGGTGATTACAGAAGATATGAGAGTAAACACGTTGAGCCCATTTTATTCTCAGGGATATCCAAAAAGGTGGTCCAGGAAGAAATCAGGTTTGAGCTGAGAGACTTGAAGGATGAGTAGAAATTAGCCAAGAGAAGAGGGGGAAGAATATTCCAGGTAGAGGGAAGAGTGTGAGCCAAGTTCTGGAGACAAGAGAGAGAGCATGGCATGGTGGATTTGTTAATGGAGCAGTTGACCATACAGGTGATAGAGGGGTGGTCGTAAGTGACTTTGTATTTGAAACCAGCCCCTTTGGCCTTCCTTGATAAATGGACCAAGTGTTTGAAAACCAGCCCCTTTGCCTTTTCACAAATGACCTATATGAGGTCAACATTTCTAATATGACACTGAAATAATTGGTAATGTTATGAGAACTAAACAGTGAGCTTTCAGTATTTTTAGCCTTGTCTTTTATTGCTGCATCTTCAGTGCAACCACTGTACCTTCCTCTGTGCATTTGTGTTTGCTGGTCAAGAAAAATCTCCGAGGTATGCTCAAGGATTTCAGATTCTATTGCAATGTTGGAATTTGGTTTGACTCCTTTTTGGAGTAAATAGACCACTGGCTGTGTTCAGAAATCTTTTTTTGGTATGTGAAACTTTTCATGGGAATGATACCTTTGTTGTAATGAGAAGTGACTTCTATTTAGGCAAAGTGACCAGAGCAGAGACTTGTCAGGATCTAGGCTGTGAATAGAATTCTATTAGAAAATAAAAGTGTTTGTTTGGGGGTGGGGGTTGGGGGGAAATTAGAGAAATGATTTGAGCTACTATCATCCCACCTGGGCTTCAGTAGTTGCCTCATAACTGGTCCCTCCTCTTATATTCCCACTGTCCTGCAGTTTAGCTAGAGTGGTCTTGTAAAAATGTGTATCAGTCATTTCACGGTCAAACCCTTTAATGGATACTCGTTGCACTTAAGATAAAAAAACAAAACAAAACAAAACAAAACCCAAATCCTTAACTTAGTCCTGTGTCATCTGGGTCTTCTCTGCATGGCCAGCCTCATTTCACACCTGTCAGCTATTGTAGTTGATTTAAGTGCGGTCCCTTTATTATATGCACTCGTTTCTTTTTTCACATTTTCCTTATCACTTCAATCACAGTTTGTAATCATATGTTTGTGTCCTTATTTAGTTTCATCTCTCTGACCAATTGCAAGCTGCAGAAATGGCTCTTCTCCTCCCTGGAGACTGGCACTTTGTAGGTCCTCAGTAAGTGTTGGTTAAATGAATCCTCAGGTGTGAGGAGTGGGGGATGATGTATTCAACCTGCAGGAAATGCCCAAGAGGCTTTGATGCATGGGACTTGTGTATACCAGGCTGTGGGCTGGAGCTGGAGATTTGGAAGTTCTTAGCATTGAGGTGCTAAATGGAAGCCCAACACTCTAAGAGAGGGTTTTAGAGTAAGAGGAGAGGGCTTCTGACGGAAGTGGACGAACAGACAGAAGCTGAGGACCACTTGTGTTTAGGAAACACATAGCCAAAAAATAGCTTGCCAAAAGAAATTGAGGAGTGGTGGCCAGAGAGGAGAGGAGAAACCAAGCACCTATGGTGTCCAGAAGCCAAGATAAGTGAGA
This sequence comes from Homo sapiens, assembly GCF_000001405.40. Lineage (NCBI taxonomy): Eukaryota > Metazoa > Chordata > Mammalia > Primates > Hominidae > Homo > Homo sapiens. Next base: position 75,998,605 of record NC_000014.9, read on the forward strand.
GTGTCATGATGGACTGAGGGGTCAGCAGTGTTTGATGCTGCCAAGAGGGTCCAGGAAGGGAAGGCCTGAGCAGGTCCTATTGGATTTAGCAGCAGGGGTCCCTGCAATTTCAGGGAGCAGTCAGAGAGGGGGCCATGTGTGCCTGGCACAGTACACACTGAGTGAGGTCTCAGTAAATCCTTGTTGAAAGAATTCAGTGACTAGGCTATGACATGTACTCTGGGGCTCAAGCAATCCTCCCCCTCGGCCTGCCGAGTAACTGGAACTATAGGCATGCACCACCACGCCAAGCTAATTTATTTTTATTTTTTGTAGAGACAAGGTCATGCTGTGTTGCTCGGGATGACCTTGAACTCCTGGCTTCAGGCAGTCCTCCCACCTTGGCCTCCCAAAGCTCTAGGATTATAGGCGTGAGCCACTATGCCTAGTTCCGACATCTCTTTATTTTTTTCTCTCTCTTATTGAGCTTCCTCTGTTTTATCTCTACTATTTCTCTTTTTCCTGCATCTCTTTTTGTCCTCTTAACCAGTGATAACAAAGAACTCCAACCCCCATACTCCATTTTGCTTTGCCCATTCATTCATTTATATATATATAATATTCATTTATATATAAATTCATTTTATATATATATATATATATATATATATATATATATATATATATATGTATATATATTTTTTTTTTTTTTTTTTTAATTTTTTGTAGAGACACAATCTCACTGTGTTGCCCAGGCCGGTCTCAAACTCCCGGCCTTAAGTGATCCTCCTACCTCGGGCTCCCAAAGTGTTGGGATTACAGGCATGAGCCATCACACCTGGCACATTTATATATATTTTTATATACATATTTATAAGTAGAATTTTATTCATTCATTTACTTATTTATCCTACATTTAATATACACTTTCTGATACAAAATGAACAAGAAAACTTCATATTCTAAGTGGGGAACCACACACCTATACCAAAAATTATAATTCTGAAGTACTATCTGAGTTCAGGAACCCAGAAGGATCACCTCACCCTGCCTAGGAGTTAGGGAAGGCTTTCTAAAAGAGGCAGCTCTTGAAGTGGGTTGACATGAATGAGTAGGAATTTGCTAATGAGCAAGGAGGGCAAAAAGCCATTTCTGGCGGCCTGCAAAGCCTGTTCTAAGGCATGCCATTGCACAGGGGCTGGGGGTTTTTAGGGCACGGTAAAACCATTTAATGTATTGGGAACATAGGCCTGGCATTCCAAGTGGAGAAATAAGAGTTTGTTTTCTATGTTGTAGGGAGCCCACAAAGATTTTAAAGCAAAGAATGACGTTACCAACTTTGTTTTCTAGAAAGATGAATCTGGCAGCTACACTGGAGGATAGAGTGGGAGAGCTTGTTGGCAGGGAGATCGCTGGGAGGCGGTTGGAGCAGTCCTTCTGAGAGGTGATGAAGGCATCAACCAAGGCAGCATTCCCAAACTTCAGGCGTTTCCCCATCATTTTAACAGTTTTACATTTTTACAGTTACAATACATACCACTCACATTATTAACTTTTCTCTTTAAATCAACTTTCCTTTTATACTTAAATGCATTTATTTTTAAAAAATGTTTTCAATGAAATGATCATTTGTGATATTTATATTTTTCTTAGTATACATAACATACATAACTGGCTTCTTTTTTTTTTTTTTTTTTTTGAGATATAGTCTTGCTCTGTTGCCCAAGCTGGAGTGCAGTGGCACAATCTCGGCTCACCACAAGCTCCGCCTTCTGGATTCACGCCATTCTCCTGCCTCAGCCTCCCGAGTAGCTAGGACTACAGGCGCCTGCCACCACGCCAGGCTAATTTTTTTTTTTTTTGTATTTTTAGTAGAGACGGGGTTTCACCGTGTTCGCCAGGATTGTCTCGATCTCCTGACCTCATGATCCTCCCGCCTCGGCCTCCCAAAGTGCTGGGATTACAGGCATGAGCCACTGCGTGTGGCCATAACTGGCTATTTTTAAAAAGGTTCATCTATTTACCTTTACCAGGCATCTCACCAGTGGCATATGTGCCTTACTTTGGGAAACAATAAACAAAAACCTGGCGGAGGGGTCTAAAGAGGAGAGGTCAGTGACAAGAGACCTGTTTGAGGGCAGGCAGATAGGATGTGGTAACAGATTGGCTGTTGGAAGTGGGAGAGAAGGAGAGTCTGGAGTTGAGCCCGCTTGTAGCTGAAAAGACTGAATGGATAATGACATTTTTGAGACTGAGAATTTAAGAGTCTTAGCAGTTGGTGAACAAGAAAGGATAATTATTTCAATTTGGGACATGCTGAATTTGAGTTGCCTTCAGGATTTTCAAAGAGGTCTGCCAAGTTGAAAATGTGGTATGGAGCTTAAGAGAGAAAGTTGGAAACTAGTGATAACAGATATGGGGGTCATCAGCATATATTCTAGGGTCTCTATGAAGAACCTATAGCATGAACTCCCGATTCCTTTTTTGACACATAGACCCTTCATGATCTCCAAGTGCAAACACATTTTCAGTAGAGAAGCAGTATGATTGGATTTGCATCTTAGAAAGAACACTTTGGCAACAACTGGACGGGGATGGATCCAGGTTTTATGAGTCCTGAAGCTTATGCAATTTGGCGGCCTTCTTTAAGAAAAACAATTCAAAATTATAGATTCAAAATCAGGTATAAAAGCAAATACTTATAATTGGAAAAAAAGTCATAGCTGAGTTACTGGAGTCTTTGATGTTCAGATGCCTTTCTTCAGAGACCTTGTTAGGCAATTTACCAGAAATACTTACATAGAAATGACTCCTGATTGGAACCTAGCTTCCCCTCGCTATCTAGAATTCTCTGTAACTTCCAGGGGCCCATGCAGGCATGCGATATAGATTTGAGGTAGGTGAGACTGGAAGCAGGGAGACCAGGTAGGACCCTGCTGAGGGAAGGCAGAGCATGAATTTGTTAGGCCTTAATTCGCATGGTTGTGCAAGTTTCTCCAACACCCCTGAGCAGGCTGGATCTTGACACAGTGGAAGCAGGTAGTTGGCTTGATCCAGGCTTTAGGGGGTGTCTTGGTCTGTTTTATGCTGCTCTAACAGAATGCCACAGAGTGAGTAATTTATGAACAAACAGACATTTATTTTCTCGCACTTCTAGAAGCTGGGAAGTCCAAGATCAATGTGCTGGCATCTGGTGAGGGCCTTTGTGCTGAGTAATCCCATGGCAGAAGGTGGAAGGGCAAGAGGGCATATGAGAGGGAGAGTCAAAAGGGGACTGAACTTATCCTTCTATAAGGGACCCACTCTAGTGATAATGGCATTAATCCATTCATGAGGGCAGAAGCTCTCATGGCTTAACCACCTCTTAAAAATCCCACATCTTGGCCGGACATGGTGGCTCATGCCTTTTATCCCAGCACTTTGGGAGGCCAAGATGGGCGGATCACCTGAGGTCAGGAGTTCAAGACCAGCCTGACCAACATGGTGAAACCCCATCTCTACTAAAAATACAAAATTAGCTGGGCGTGGTGGCGCAGGCCTGTAATCCCAGCTACTCAGGAGGCTGAGACAGGAGAATTGCTTGAACCCGGGAGGCAGAGGTTGCAGTGAGCCAAGATGGTGCCATTGCACTCCAGCTTGGGCAACAAGGGTGAAACTGTGTCTCAAAAAATAAAATAAATAATAATCTCACATCTTAATACTGTTACAATGGCAATTAAATTTCAACCCAAGTTTAGAGGGGACATTCCAACCATAGCAAGGGGAAGTGTGGTAAAAAGGTAAGGGGGGGGGTGGCATGATGTCATCGACCTTGGGAATGAGCTAGGTTGATAGGGAAAGAAGTGACACCAAGAAGGAAGTTGTTAGATGAGGAGGGAAGGAGGGGACTGGATATTTCAGAGATGGAGCAGTTCCAGTTATGACTGGAGTTTCAAAAAGTAGCAACAAGGCCATTGGCATTTAAAGGGTCTGGGAACCACAAGGCTAAACATTAGAACTGTTCATGTGAACACTAACTTGGCTTAGAATAATGAGAATAGTTGTGGAGAGGGAGCCAAATGCCCAAATTTTTGGTCAGTGTGTGCTCAGGGCATTGTTAGTGACAGGAATGAAGGAGAGAGGTGGTATAGCTGAATGGTACAAGTTTTGAAAGAAGTGTTTTCATAATAATTTGGAAGAATAATGGTCTAGAGGAACTTTGGGGAGTGAAACAGGAGTATTGTCTTGGGACTTGGGTTTGCAGGGTTTTAAAAAATGAGCAGACTCTACTTGAAAGAGCTGCGAGAGCAACGAAGTCCGTGGGGGAAGCCAGGATTTAGGAGAGGCAAGGAGATGTAGAGAGTGTGCTGTGAATATAGAATATCTAATCTGCTTAGAAACCGTAAGGTTGTGATCAGAAAGCTTCATTGAAATCATTAGCTAGGCTAGATTTCTTCTTATTATGTGACATGTCAATAATTACTGAAAAGGAGCAGAATGATAGTAAAATATTCTTTAAATAATGATACTTTACAGGAAAAGGGTACTGACTAATGTCGAATGTCATTGGTGATAGACTGAAACATTTCTGGTCACGTGCTTTTACCCAGTATAATAGAGAGTTATGTCACTGTGTTTAGCCGATTGCTTTTAAGTTCCATTTTAATTCCTCCATTGGCTTTTAGGTATTGTTTTTTATACTTTTTTTTTTAGTGATTACTCTAGGATTTAAAATATGCATCCTTATCACTGGTTACATAGAGTTAATATTATACCATGGCCGGGTTTGGTGGCTCACTCCTGTAATCCCAGCACAGCACTTTGGGAGGCCGAGGCGGGTGGAGCAAGAGGTCAGGAGTTCAGGACCAGCCTGGCCAACATAGTGAAACCCCGTCTCTACTAAAAATACAAAAATTAGCTGGGCGTGGTGACACACGCCTGTAATCCCAGCTACTTGGGAGGCTGAGGCAGGAGAATTGCTTGAACTGTGACCCAGGAGGCAGAGGTTACAGTGAGCCAAGATCGTGCCACTGCACTCCAGCCTGGGCTACAGAGCGAGACTCCGTTTCAAAAAAAAAAATTATGCCACTTCATATAAAATGTGAGACCCTTGCAGCCATTAAGTCCATTTGTCCCCCCAGTCCTTTGTGGTATTAATAGCATATATTTTAAAACTATTTATATTAAGAACTTTGCAATACAGTTTGTCGGGTTTTTGTTTTGTTTTGTTTTTGAGACAGAGTCTCACTCTGTTGCCCAGGCTGGAGTGCAGTGGCATGATCTTGGCTCACTGCAACCTCTGCCTCCCAGTTCAAGCAATTCTCCTGCCTCAGCCTCCCAAGTAGCAGGGATTAGAGGCGCCCACCACCCACCTGGCTAATTTTTGCATTTTTAGTAGAGACAGGATTTCACCATGTTGGCCAGGCTGGTCTCAAACTCCTGACCTCAAGTGATCCACCTGCCTCGGCCTCCCAAAGTGCTGGGATTACAGGCGTGAACCACCACCCCCAGCCCAGTTTGTCATTTTACTTTAAACAGTTGTCACTGAGAGATATTCTGCCTTTTTTGTTGTTCTTCATTTCTTCCAATAGATCTAAGTTTCCATCTGGGGGTGTCATTTCTCTTTAGCCTGAAGAACTTCCCTTAGCATTTCTGGTAGCACAGATTTGCCAAGAACAACTTCTCTATCTAGTTTATCTGAAATCTGAAAATGTTTTGATTTCATCCTCATTTTGAAGGATATTTTATATTGATATGGAATTCCAGATTGAGAGTTTTTTTTTTCTTTCAGCACTTTAAAAATTGCCATACCTTTTGTCCTCTGGCCATTTTTCCCCCGATTGTTCTGTATGTAAGTCTTTTCTCCTCCCTCTGGCTGCTTTAAAGATTTTGTCTTTATCTTTGCTTTTTAGCACTTTGACTATGATGTGACTGTGTGTCATTTTCTTTGATTTTTTTCTGTTTAGGATTTGCTAAGGTTTGCTGATCTCACAGTTGATATTTGTCACCCCAGATTTAGAAAGTCTTAGGCGATTACTTCTTCAAATATCTATTCTGCCCTATTTTCTTTCTCTTTGTGCCTGGGACTCTAGTTGCATAAATGTTAGACTGCTTGATATTGTTCCATAAGTTTGTTCTATGTTTTTTGTTCTGAAGCCTTATTAATTTTTTTTCCTATCTTTTGTCCTTTTGTCCTTCAGATTGGGTATTTTCTATTGGTCTGTCTTTAAGTTCACTGATGATTTTTACTGTTGTGTTCAAACTGCTGTTAAGCCCAACTGATTTTTTTCATTTTAGATATTTTACTTTTAAATTAGAAATTTCCATTTATTTTTCCCCATCTGTTTTTTCCTACATAGCTTCTGTTTCTTTCCTAGATTTCCCATCTGTTCATTCATTATGGCCATCTTTTCCCATAAGTCCTTGAACATATAGCTGCTTATAAGGTCCTTATATAGCTGCTTTAAAGTTCTTGTCTGTTAATTCTAACATCTGGGTCATCTTGGGGTCAGTTTTTATTGTCTATTTTTTCTTCTGACTATAGATCACATTTTCACACTTCTTCATATGTCTAGTAATTTTGTTTGTACATAAGACATTGTAGATGAAAAATTACAGTAACTCTGGAATTACCTTCCTCTGAAAAGTGTTTATTTTTGTTTTAGTAGGCTGTTAAACTATTTGTGGATCACCTTAAACTTGTGGGAACTTGGTTTCGGACTGTGTTAGGTTGGGTGTATTTTGGTTTTGCCCTTTGTCCTAGAGCAAATCCCATAGTCCTGGGACATGGTCTTTACTCCTCAGATGGCTCTTCGGGGATTTCGGTGAAAGACCCAATGTTTGTACCAAGCACCTCTAACTTTGTGGAACTCAAACTCCAAACTCTGCCTCCCTTGCAATGAAATTTCATCTCTACTCAGCTTTTTATTATCCTTTCAGCAGTTGCTTTTCACTGGGTTTCTTGGAGTCTCCTTTATGCATGTACAATTCAGGTATTGACTGAGAATTTTAGAGAAATTTGTGTATGTATTTGGGGGCTCCCTTCTTCTCAGGATTTTCCCCTATTTCTAGCCCCTCTAGCAGCCCTGAGCTTTGTTCTTAAAGCCAATAAAATTGCAGCTTTCTGCTGGAGTTCCAGCTACCCAATTGCTGTACAGACTGAGTGCATTCACACTCAGATAATCTATTTGAGCATGGATTTTTACCAATCCAGTTCTTTTCTTTCAAGGATAAAATCTCCTTCAGTTTCTGCCTGCTTTTGTTTCCTCTCCAGTATCTTCTAATAGTGGTTTTATATGTTTTGTCCAAAGTTATAATTATTATCTGTGTGACAATTAGTTGAATACATACTACTTTCCCATTATGTGCCAATTGCTTTTGGACTGTTTCAACATACACTTTTTTTTTTTTCAGATGATATTATTGGTGAGAAAAGAATGAGAGTGATTGGTGCAGAGACAGTTTGTGTCCATTTTCCCTTGGGACTAGTGACAGGGACGTTCTGATATATTAGCTATCGAGACAGAAAGTGTTCTGACATTAGTGGTGCAACTTGGAAGTAATGACCAGAAACATGGGTATGAAAGAGGCCCAGCGACCAGAGCTAAGTCACCAGAATGCAAGTGTTCATCCATGTGGATGCTGTGCTGAGCACTAGGAAAGGTTAATCTAAAAAGGCCTCTAGAGTTAGAGAGGTCGGCAGTGTGCTGTTTCAAGGGCAGGAGTGGGGAGGGTCTTTCTGTGCAGCCTCAAGCTGAGTAGTAAAATTTATGGATTAAGTGACTGTTCCTAGGTCCTGCCTTTCATGTTAGGCCATTGTCAGCTGGGGTGGTAGAGGAGCTGGCCTTCAGCCTTACTCATTTGAGAAAGGGTGGGAAAAGAACCTGAGAAATTAACCTGGGGCTTGGACTGATAAGCTGAGAAAGAGACTGTAGCATGTTTTAACACTGGTGTATGCATAAGGAAGTTTTTACTGATAGGAGAAATCCAAGAACAATGTAGTAAGTTTTTTGTAAGCTAAATTTATTCCATTTAAAGGACCATTTCTTATCCCGGTTTGTGTCCTTTCTAATTTGGGAAGATTAGAAAGGTCCATTCTTTAATGAAATGATTTTTTAACCATTTAAAAAATGGTTAAAAAAATGTTCTTAACAAAATTAAAAGCTGTTAAGCTGTACTGCCAATCCACACAAACAGAAATTTGCTTTTTGAAATATTAACAGTTTATGAAATCCAGAAGTTTGGGAAACAGTTCTAGATGTTTAAAAAATATTTTTTAGGATTACTGGGGACATTTTTTTTTTTTTTTTTTTTGAGACAGAGTCTCACTCTGTTGCCTAGGCTAGAGTGCAATGGTGGGATCATGGCCCACTGGAGCCTCTATCTCCTAGGTTCAAGCAATCCTCCTAGATCAGCCTCCTGAGTAGCTGGGACTAAAGACATATGCCACCATGCCTGGCTAATTTTTTCTATTTTTTGTAGAGATGGGGTCTCACTTTGTTGCCCAGGCTGGTCTTGAACTCCTGAGCTCAAGCAATCCTCCTGCTCTGGCCTTCCAAAATTTTGGGATTACAGGTGTGAGCCACTGCGCCTGTGCTGGGGCCACTTTTCAAATGGTATATAGTAGGGATAGTGAAATGTGTACTAATTTGCTAGCCATGACCTTGCTCTGTACTTATAGTGTCTTCTCCTTGGGCTCCCACAACTAAGGCAAGATTAAGAACTGCAGTGTGAAACCTGCAGTGTCCCTGGTCTCACCACTGCGTGATACAGAGTGGGGAATGAAGCCAGGCATTTCTCTCTAGGTCTCACATGATGGGGGCCGCCAGCCCATGGGTTAATGCTTCTCTCACTTCTTTTCCATTATCACCCTTGAGGAGTCTTGTGAGAGATCAGGTTTCCTAAAGCATCAAGGTTACAGCTTGCTTCTACTGCTCTCAGCTTGTTCCAAGTCATTCCATCCTGGCTTTGGTTGAGGTAGCAAGGCTAGACTGTGCTTATACAAAGTCACTAAGTCATGTGCCAGGAGGGGTTGCTTCTTAGAGTGTTGGGAATTTACACCTTCAATATTATGCACATTTCTGGCTACACACATGCTGGGTTGATTTTAATAAACAGAAAGGAGTTAAGAGAATGACAGAAATGTATAGGTTTTGGTTTATGATGAATGTTGAAAAGAATTTTTATGTTGGCTGAATGGCAGAAAGTATAGGGAAATGGGGCATGTCTTTATAAGTGTCTGAAAGGTATATAGACCCAAGAAGAGGAAGAAGGGAGAGCTGATGTAGGATGACCCAAAAGGATGTAATTGAGATTAAGAAGATGCCATCCAAGGTGGGAAAGTCCAGGGTGAATTTGAAGAATGGTTTTCAGGGCTGAAATCTGTTCTCTTTGGATCCGCCTCTTCAACAAACTACTGGCAGCCCTATCCCATGAGTCACTTAAATTGGGCAGTTTGATGACTCTGTATTGAGCTGTGGGATATGGCTCTTTTTATTATAGGTTATGTGTGAACATTTGGGAAGTGCGACACCAGTAGAGCATTTGCCAAACACTGTGGCTGTCCTGAGCATCATGTTATGTCTCATTGAGCTACAGAACTGTGGTTTCCTCTTCTTGATTTGGGCAGCTTTCAAGGATATCTCTCTCTTCAGGGAAGCTGGAATAGATAATTGGATCCTTAGAATGAAATATGTGCAAGGCCTCCCCCAAGTAAAAGGCCCTGTAACACCTGGCCACCAGAAACTTCCATTGTCTCAACCCTAAGCATTAAGGATTCCTCTTCTGAAGTCTGCATTTTATTACTGTTATTATTATTTCTGAAAATAATATAATAGCCACTGTTATCACTATTTATGAGGAGTCTACTCTATGCCAGGGATTTTCTCCAGTGTCTACAGTAGACCTGCAAGGGACTCATGATCATTCTCATTTTACACATGAGGAAAAGGAGGCTCAGTGGAGATATGATGAGCACAAGGCTGCCCAGCTAGAAAGAGACATTTCTAGAATTTGAACCCGGGACTGTCCCTCCTTCCTGCTCCCTCTTCCTTTGCTCCCTCTCCCCACCTTTAAATAGCTTTTCCCCTTTGCTTCCTTGTGGCAAAATCACATGTCCTCCTTGATTCAGTCCCTCCTTCTTCAAAGCTACTCCACTGTTGATATGTGGAAAATATCTTGTAGCATGCAGTAAAGACACAGCTATTTTCCAAGTGCAAAGATTTATACTGAATGCAGCCTAACACAGCTTGGCACAGTGTTCAAGCTGTTACTAATATGATTTTGGCATCACTTTTTAATTCTGACTTTGCCCTTAACGCTTCCCTCAATCTAATCCTTGACTTGCCTCATTAAAGGGGTAAGGATTAGACCATGCTATTTTCTGGACCTCCTGTCTTATTGAACATATTTGTATCATTGACAGGTACATCTTACCTTGAGCCCGGGAAATAAATGAAAGAGATGGTCCTTTCAGTTTGCCCTTGCCGGGTCTTATATTTGTATTATCAGTCTGGATTGTTGGGCACTTTGTTTCAGCCCAGATTGGTTGTTTTCTATGGCAGTTCTGTTCTTTCAAGCCCATTCTAGCTGGCATGCAACTTAGCCGCTAGGCAATCATGTATCATCTGCTTCATTGCAAAGCTCAGGTATCAGACACACCTGGGTTTGAATCCTTGCCCTGTTATTTACAAATAGTATGATTTTTAGCTGAGTTAATCTCTAAGCCTAGTTTCCTCATCAGTAAACTTAGTATGTAGTAGTACCCACTTCATCATATCATAAGATTCAGCAAATAATCCTCCTAAAGCTTTCACATATGGTGAAATAGACATTGGATATTATTTTATCATTAGCTTTGAATTCGTTAATGTATTATTTCTAATTACCTAGCTTGGCTTATTCACCAACAGTCAAGTCCTTATGCTTACATATTCTCATTTCTCTTTGTAGCCTGTGTTCTCTCTATTTTTGTCTCTGTCTCCTTCATTTCAGCTTAAATGGATAAGTGTTTGGTGTTGCCATTTACATCTGTTTTGCTTAGGTACCTTCCTCCTAGGTACCTTCTTCCTAGGTACCTGAATTCAATTTGCCACAATTCATACATCCATAGAATTACAGAAGTTTGGAAGTGGGAGGAATCAATTCTAGCATGAAGAAGAACCCAGGGTTGTGGACCTAGTCTGTGGCAGAGCAAGGACTAGAAGCCAGAAGCCAGATTAGTTGGTGTCTCATCTAGTGGTTTTTTTTTTTGAGACAGAGTCTTGCTGTGTCACCCAGGCTGGAGTGCAGTGATGCAATCTCAGCTCACTGCAACCTCCGCCTCCTGGGTTCCAGCGATTCTCATGCCTCAGCCTCTGGAGTAGCTGGGACTACAGGTACATGCCACCGTGCCTGGCCAATTTTTGTATTTTTAGTAGAGACAGGGTTTCACCATGTTGGCTAGGCTGGTCTTGAACTCCTGACCTCAGGTGATCCTCCCTCCTCGGCCTCCCAAAGGCTGGGATTGCAGGCGTGAGCCACCCTGCCCGGCCTCTAGTGTTCTTCTACCACATTGTTTTCTTCCCCAATTTCAGGTATACACAATTAAAATATATTCCACAGGAGGCTAGGGTGGGCAGGGAGGCACTTTTATCTAAAAGCACCTTCCTCCGTCACCTGTAGTCATGACAGGGATCTTGAGACCCCGTGTTTTGGGTGTAGAGTAGTTTTCTGGTCCCCAGCATATTAGGAATTACCAACCATTAGGTGGAGAATGTCCCATTGTTTTTCACGAGCACATGCATCAAGGAACAACCTCCATGCTGGTACCCTCCTCCATACCAACCCTGCCTTTTTTCTTTTTTGTTAAACCTAAACTTTATGCTTCTAGTTTCTTTATTGTTTTAACTTTTCATTAAAATGAGAAACACCCAGAAAAGTAGAAAAAATTAGTACAGTGAACAACATATATCCATCAACTAGATTCAACTGTTACTACCATTTTGCCATATTTGCTTAAATTATAATTTATAAAATATTTAAAAATAGAATATATGTTTTATACATAATTTTTTGCTGAATTATTTCAAAGCAAATTATAGGCATCATAACATGTTACTTAGATACTTCAGCATATATCTAAAAAAAAAGATATTTTCCTAGAAAGCCACAAGTCTACACCTAACAGTATGAATAATTTCCTAACACTATTACCCACTCCAAATTTATTTTCCACTGTTGTCTTCAAAGTATTTTTATAGCGCTTTTGTTCACACCAGAATCCAATCAAGAATCACACAATTAGATTTATTTCTTTTAAGTCTCTTTTAATTTAGAATAGTCCCCTAACTCCCTCACTTCTCCTTTTTTTTTTTTTTTAATGACAGCATCTCACTCTGTTGCCCAGGCTGGAGTGCAGTGGCATGATCATAGCTCAGTGTAGCCTCAACCTCATGGGCTCAAGTGATCTTCTCACCTTAGCCTCCTGAGTAGCTGGTATTATAGCTGCACACCACCACACCCAGCTAATTATTATTATTATTATTATTGGTAGAGATGGGGTCTCACTTTGTTGCCCAGGCTGGTCTTGAACTTCTGGCCTCAAGTGATCCTTCTGCCTCAGCTTCCCAAAGTGTTGGGATTACAGGCATGAGCCACTGCACCTGGCCCACTCCTCTCTTTTTAACGGCATTGACACTTTTGAAGAGATCAGGCCAGTTCTTCTACCAGAGTTTCCCACATCCTGGGTTTGTTTGATTCTTTCTTCCAAGTGTCATTTTACTTATTACTTTCTCACCTGATTTGTAAACTGGAAATCAAATTGGAAGGCTTGATTAGATTCCAGATGAATGGTTTAGGCAGGAAGTTTTCCTGGGTGGTGTCATGTGTTTCAAGTAGCAGCACATTACGTCCCACTGTTAATGCTGCTAAGTTTGATCACTGAGTTAGGATAGTGATAGATATCTCCATTGTTAAGGAATGTTTTTCTCCCCTGCAACTAGCATGTAATATATGGGTTGATTCTTTGGCACTGTGAAAATGCCCAGTTGCCCACCAGTCAGTCTTGTACCTAATGGCTTTAGCACTCACTGATGATCAGCTTTCTTTCTTATACGTAAAATAGACTTTGCGTTTTGATATGTCCATTTCAGCTTGAGAGAACTATGTTTATTCACAGGAGTTCACTTATAAGATTGAGTGATCCATTACCTTCCATGACCTTAAATCTACTATGGAGAAACTCAGTTCTCTGAGGGATTAGTTGTCAGACCCAGGGTTGAGGCAGGAGGAAGAAACTGGGAGAGTTGGAACTGTGCGTGGAGGACAGATTGCAGGAGTAGATGCCAGCCCTGAAGCGTATGCACATACCGTATTACTATCAGTCTTTTCACTTGCCAAGCATATAAAGAACAACTTTCTTGGATCTTCTCTAAGATTGCTGGAGAAAGAAAGGGAAGTTTGTTTTTAGTCAGTAATGTAAGATTGAATGTGGGAGCTGCATTGCCCCTAGAAGCTGGAAGATGGATATGTGTGAAGTTTGCAATTGATCTTGCTTAACTAAATGTCTTTCTGTTGGAATTTATGCATGTATTTGGACTGGCTTTTTGAAACAGGTTGCAATTTGGACTTAGAACTCTTGGCCTGATTCATATTTTGGGGTTAGGGTGGAGTTTCTCCAGGACTTCTGAGAGTGTGTGAGAAGTTTCTAAACTCAGAAGGCTCCTTTTTTGGCACTGCAGCATCTTTTCTGTTTTGGCATCTTAAGAATCTGGGGGAACCATATAAAGATCAGAAACAAGTCTGGCCCTAAAGACTCCCTCTGACATGGTAATTCCAGTTATTGAATCCTAGCCCATTCGGATGAGACCATATAAAGAGGCCATTTCCTGAAATTCCCGCTCTCTGCCTCTCACAGGCTCCTTTTTGTAGAAAGCTGGTATTTCAGGACTGCAACCGCCAGTCACGTGCTTCCAACTCTTTACTCACAGTCATTCCTGCCCCCTGTTTATTTTTGGAGAGAACACATTTTTGCTGCTTTTCAGGAGCTATGCAGGGTCCTGCCCCCTCCGTCCATCAGGCGGCAGCCCCAGCAGGCTGTGCTCATTTCCCACACTCGGAGACGTGACTCCAGCTTTTAAGAGAGAACACAAGAGATGCACTGCCTGAGGACTACCGTCACTTGTTCCTATTTCTGTCCCTCTTGGTGTTACATATTTTAAGACTCTTTCTTTTTTTAAAACAAGTTTAGGGAATGTTACCTGGCAGTAAGTCAGCCAAAATTGGAAATCATTTGTCCAGCTGTTGTCTTGGGGCTGTGCCTCTGAATTTCAGGAGAGTAATTTAAAGAATAAACCAGGACTTTTGAATTCTAGGATCAGGCCTCCTCTTCTTTCTGGCTTTTAAGTTTGTTTGAGCTCTAATCCTTCTCTTCCATATAGTTTCTTCCTCTTCTCCTTGACACAGGGATAGAAAATAGGTTCTTCTAAAATGCCAACTCAAACAGATGTCTTCCCAAGTGCTTGGTCAAGGAGGACTCTTGAGTTGATGGGCTTTAGGAAAAAAATGCCACGACTGTCTTAGCCTGCCTGAAGATTAAGTTTTTAGCTTCAGTGATGGAGCAGGAGTAAATTCTTCTTCCTGTAAATGAGTAGGCCATTAGGTAGAGAACTCAGACTCATAACATTTGAAGAACAAAATAAATCATGCATTTGTGTCTTCCTCTGCTCTGTGGGAAGGACCCCTGGTCCAAATGGAAAGATGTGTGAATAAAGGGCTTTAATTTCTCATCAGTCCAGGCAGGGACTGGAGCTTTGACAGTTGAGCTGGTGAGGGCGTTCGCACCCCCATAGGTTCCCTAGCATCTGATCTGTCACCTCCGGAAAGGGAAGGCCAACAGTCCAGGCAGCTGGTCATAAAACGAGCAACAGCAGTGGCTGGCCTAGGTGTGCGTCCTGTGTTTCAGATTGCCCTGGGGAGACAGCCGTTTTTTGAAATGCGGATAACTAGGTGTCTAGGTGTCATGAAACCTCTTAGGGAGAGCAGCCAAGTATTCAGGGACTGGACTGTCTATGCAAAAGAAACCAACTAGACCTTTAAAATCATATTGCTGGGGAAAGGAGCAGCAACAAATCCAAAATGGCAGCCAGCAGAAGGCTGATGAAGGAGCTTGAAGAAATCCGCAAATGTGGAATGAAAAACTTCGTAACATCCAGGTTTGAGGAAACTAATTCTTGACTTGGCAAGGGCTAATTGTTCCTGACAACCCTCCATATGATAAGGGGGCCTTCAGAATGGAGATCAGATTTCCAGCAGAGTACCCATTTAAACCACTGAAGACCACAGTTAAAACAAAACAAAGATTTATCACCCAAACAATGACAAAAAGGAGCAAGTCTGTCTGCAAGTAATTAGTGCTGAAAACTGGAAGCCAGCAACCAAAACTGACCAAGTAATCCAGGCTGTCATAGCACTTGTGAACAACCCCCAGCCCGAGCACCCATTTCGGGCTGACCTAGCTGAAGAGTACTCTAAGGACTGTAAAAAATTCTATAAGAATGCTAAAGAGTTTACAAAGAAATATGAGGAAAAGCGACCCATGGACTAAAATCTACTGCAGTTGATTCCAGCAAGTATGAGCAGAGACCCCAAGCAGTGCATTCAGGACTCTGTGGAAAATTGACATGTGCTACCACCTGGCATTCGCTTGTGGCACTTACTAATTTTCCATAGTTTTCTTAGTCCAAAGTAGTCTAGGTAGCCTATAAAGAAAGGATTAAAAATTTAAGATGTTCTAAAAAAACCATATTGTTACAAGCCAGTCATCTGCTTACATTTCAGATTGTTTGTACTTAATTTCAAACTGCCACATTATGATCAAGTTGCATCAGCTTCCACTTAAGGCCTGCATTGTAGAGTAATGAATGCTGAGGGCCTCAAACTCCCAAAGCCATTTCCCGGGGACCCTTAAAATATAATGGTCAAGTAACAAAATTTTGCTACAGGAGAGTTATATACCATCCCCAGTATCACTACACCCTTGGATCTGGTTGCTTCTGGAATGCTTTTTTCTTTACATTTCCAATCCAGGACAAGCCCCACTTTGCCCATAAACTTCCTTGACCTCTCCTTCTCCTCAGCACTTCCTGAGTGTGTACAATTCTGTTTAGCTTTTAGACATATATTGTAAGCCTTATGCATGCTTATCAGAGCAGCCTTAATAATGCCCCAGTGAAAACCACCAAGATGGCAAGAAAACTGCAAATTTTGGTGGAAGTGCCCCATGGCTGAGGGATTCTTCAGCTTCACCTTTGGACCCTGGATGCAGCCTCTTCCTGGAACAATTCTGTGTCTCCATCACTGACGCCTACTTCTCACTTCCATTGTGGCCTTTTGAGTTTCAGATTAAGCCTGACATCCAATTACGTGGATTTCGTACAGGCCTGATACACTGAACTCTGCGTGTTCTTGGCCTCATGGAACATTTGGGACAGGGATGACATCTTCTACTTTTTCTATTGCACCTAGTGCACATGGGACCAGTGCCGAGTTCCCCACATAGGTAACAAGGTTGATTTCTGGGGAAGAGCATATAACTTGGTAATAGTTATTAATTAAGTCCGTCTCATCCAGACAGGGTATTTGTGTGTGCCCCTAACAAGACTCATATTAGGGGGTGTTTACAAAAATATTGCTAATCCTTGGACTCAGAGAACTAAATCATGTATGTAAGGACTTTCCCTCAGGAGATAGGCATTTCCCTCTAAATGCCCAAGCCTACTTTGCAGAGAGCTAAGCCTGCCTGTCCCTCCTCCTCTCCCCTCTGCTTCAGTGCTCTCTCCTGAGGTTCGCCAGTGGGAAGCAAGCTAACTACCATAGCTCCTGACTCATGTTGCTCAGGGGATTTCTTTGCAATTTTTTACTTTTCTGAATGATCTCAATGTTGGGGTGGAGGAAATGAAAAGTAGCTTATACAGTTTTTATAATACTATATCAATTCCTAATGGCTTCAGTTATTAGTGAAAAAAATCCTTTGATTTTAGAAGTAGGTGTTAAACTGTATTGGCTTTGGAGGAGTGACTTTTAGCTGGTGATCGCTTTGTTTTGGAGCTGCGGGTACCATTTTATAATGGGAAGAAAATGAGAGGAAATGTGGCTTTGTGTTACCTCTTGGCAGAAAGGATTTTCACCCAATAGCCATGGCTTCCTTGGGTTTGTGGTTAAACAAGATAAAGCTGATATTTTGGGTTTTAGACTCTTAGGGAATGCTATTAACCATTTGATATCCGTTAGTAAAGTGACAGTTCAGTCCAGGCTCAAAGGAGCCATTTTAACTGGGGTAAGATGATATCTCAGTGTGGTTTTGGATTTGCATCTCTCTGATGCTCAGTGATGTAGAACATTTTTTCATATAGTTGGCCATTTGTGTGTCATCTTTTGAGATTCTTTTCAGATCCTTTGCCTGCTTTTTAATGGGACTTTTTTGGGTTTTTTGCTATTGAATTGTTTGAGTTTCTTGCATATTCTGGATGCTCGTTTCTTGTTGGATAAATAGTTTGCAGATATCTTCTCCTATAGTTTATCCTTACACTGTGTTAATTGTTTCATTTGCTGTGCAGAAGGTTTCTTTTAGTAGTTTTTATACTGTCAGGTCTTACATTTAAATCTTTAATCCATTTTGATTTGATTTTTGTATATGGTGAGAGATGGGGGCTCTGGTTTTATTCTTCTGTGTATGGAAATCCGGTTTTCCCAGCACCACTTATTGAGGAGACTGTTCTTTCCCTAATATGTTGTAGGTGTTGTTTTCAAAAATCGTTTGGCTAGAAATACATGGATTTATTCCTTGGTTTTCTATTCTCTTCCTTTGATCTATTTGTTTTTATACCAATATTATGCTGTTTTGGTTACTATAGCTTTGTAGTATTATATATTTTGAAGTCAAATAGTGTGATGCCTCCATCTTTGTTCTTTTTGCCCAATGTTGCATTGGCTATTCAGGCCCTTTTGTGGTCCCATATAAATTTTAGGGTTGTTTTTTCTGTTTCTGTGAAGAATATCGTGGGTATTTTGATAGAATTGTATTGAACCTGTAGATTCCTTTGGGTAGTACAGTCATTCTAACAATATTAATTCTTCTGATCCATAAGCATGGGATGTCTATTTGTTTATGTCTTCTTCAATTTCTTTCGTTAGTGTTCTGTAATTTTCGTTGTAGAAGTCTTTCACCTTCTTGGATAAATGTATTCCTAAGTATTTTTTTTGTAGCTATTATAAATGGGATTGCTTTCCTGATTTATTTTTCAACTAGTTTGTTATTGGTGTGTAAAAACACTACTGATTTTTGTGTGTTGATTTCGTATCCTGCAACTTCACTGAATTCATTTATTCATTCTAAGAATTTTTTGATGCAATCTTTAGGTTTTTGTATTTATAAGATCATATCATCTGCAAAGAGGGACAATTTCACTTCCTGTCTAATTTGGAAGAGTTTTATTTCTTTCTCTTGACTGATTACTCTGGCTAGAACTTCCAGGACTATGTTAAATAAAAGTGGTGAAAGTGGACATCCTTGTCTTGTTCCAGTTCTTAGAGGAAAAATGTTCAGCTTTTCTCCATTAAGTACGATGTTAGCTGTGGGTTTGTCGTATGTGGCCTTTATTAAGTTGAGGACTGATTTGTTCCTTCTGTGCCTGATTTGCTGAGAATTTTTATTATGAAGGGATGTTCAATCATATCAAATGCTTTTTCTGCATCTATTAAGATGATAATGTGGTTTTTATCCCTCATTCTATTGGTGTTATATATCAGATTTATTGATTTGCTTGTGTTGAACCCTCCTTGCATCCCTGGGATAAATCCCAGTTGATCATGGTGTATTATCTTTTTGATGTGTTGTTGGATTCAGTTTGCTCGTATTTTGTTGGGGATTTTTGCATCCTATGTTCATCAGGGATGTTGGCCTATAGTTGTTGTTGTTGTGGTGGTTGTGTCCTTATCTGGTTTTGGTGTCAGAGTAATACTGGCTTTGTAGATGAGTTAGGAAGAATTTCCTCCCATTCAATTTTTGGGAATAGACTGAGAAAAATTGGTGTTTGTTCTTTTAAGTTTGGTAGAATTCAATAGTAAAGCTATCTAGTCTTGGGCTTTTCTTTGTTGGGAGGCTTTTTATTACTGATTCAATCTCATTACTTGTTAGTGGTCTGTTCAGGTTTTCTATTTCTTCCTGGTTCAATCTTGGTAGGTTGTACGTGTCCAGGAATTTGTCCATTTCCTCTAGGATTTCCAATTTATTAGTATATACTTGTTCATAATAGTCTCTTATGATCCTTTGTATTTCTGTGGTATCAGTTGTAATGTCTCTTTTCTCATTTATGATTTTATTTATTTGGGTCTTCTCTCTTTTTTCTTGGTTGGTCTAGCTAGCAGTTTACTAATTTTGTTTATCTTTTCAAAAAACTATCTTTTGTTTCATTGATCGTTTGTATTTTTTTAAGTCTCTATTTTGTTTAGTTCTGCTCTGATTTTATTATTTCTTTCCTTCTAGTGATTTGGGGTTTAGCTGGTTCCTGCATTTCTAGTTCCCTGAGGTGTGTTGTTAGCTTGTTCATTCAGAATCTTTCCTTTTTTTTTTTGATGTAGGTATTCATTGCTATACTTCCCTCTTGGCTCTGCTTTTGCTGTATCCCATAGGTTTTTGTATGTTGTGTTTCTGTTTTCATTTGTTTCAAGAAATTTTTTAATTTTCTTCTTAATTTCTTCATTGATCCAGTGGTTGTTCAGGAGCATGTTGTTTAATTTCTATGTATTTGTACAGTTTCCATAATTCCTCTTGTTATTGATTTCTAGTTTTATTCCATTGTCATCTGAAAGATACTTGATATGATTTTGGTTTTTAAAAATTTCTTGACATTTGTTTTGTGGCCTAACATATGGTCTATTCTGGAGAATGTTCCACGTGCTGATGAGAAGAATGTGTGTTCTGCGGCTATTGGATGAAATGTTTAGTAAATGTCTGTTAGTTTCATTTGGTTTAAAGTGCAGTTTAAATTCCCAGTTTTCTTTATTGGTTTTCTGTCTAGATGATCTCTCCAGTGCTGACAGTTGGATGTTGAAGTCACCAACTATTATTGTATTGGAGTCTATTTAGATCTAATAATATTTGCTTTTTATTATCTGGAGGCTCCAGTGTTGGGTACATATATATTTAGAACTGTTATATTGATCCCCTTATCATTATAGAATGACCTTCTTTACAGTTTTTGACTTAAAGTCTGTGTTATCTCATGTAAGTATAGCTTCTCCTGCTTGCTTTGGGTTCTTATTTGCAGGAATTTTTTTCCATCCCTTCACTTTTAGTCTATGTGTGTCTTTATAAGTGAAGTAAGTTTCTTATAGGCAGCAAATAGTGATGCTTTTTAATTTAGCCAGCCAGTTTAGTGAGGAGTTTAATCCATTTACATTCAAGGTTATTATTGATGGCTAAGGACTTATTTCTGCCATTTTATTAATTGTTTTCTGGTTGTTTTATATATCCTTTTTTCCTTACTTCCTCTTTTAAGTTTTATCATTGCAGTTTGATGGTTTTCTGAAGTGGTAATGTTTGAATTCTTTCTCTTTCCCATTTGTGTATCTGTTCTACTAGTGAGTTTTATACTGTCTTGTGTTTTCATGATGGTATATATTGTTCTTTCACTTCCATATGTAGGACTCCCTTAATAATTTATTGAAAGGCTTGTCAGTGGTGATGAATTCCCTCTGGTTTTGCTTATCTGGGAAGGACTTTATTTCTCCTTCATTTTTGAATAATAGCTTTGCTGGGTATAGTAATCATAGCTGCCTTTTTTTTTTTCCCTTTCAGCACTTTGAATATATCATCCCAAACTTTCCTGGCCCGTAAGGTTTCTGCTGGGAATTCCCTTTTATGTGACTTGACACTTTCCTCCTGTTGTTTTTTTGAATTTTATCTTTGTCTTTGACTTGACATTTTGATTATAATGTGCCTTGGAGAAGATCTTTTTGAGGTGAATCTATTTTGAGACCTTCAAGCTTCCTGTATCTGAATATCTATATCTCTTTCAAGACTTGAGAAGTTTTCAGCTATTATTGCATTAATAGGTTTTCAATACCTTTGCCCATCTCTTCTTCTGAGACTTCAAAAATTTTAATACTTGTTTTCTTTATGGTGTTGCATATGTCAAGTAGGCTTCCTTTATTCTTTTTTCTTTTTTGTCTGAGTTATTTCAAAAGACCTGTCCTCAAGTTCTGAAATTCTTTTTCTCCTGCTTGATCTAGTTTATTATTGAAGCTCTTGATTGTATTTTTTCTTTCTTTCATTGACTTCTTCAGTTCCAGGATTTCTATTTGGTTCTTTTTTATGATGTTTATCTCTTTATTGACTTTCCCATTCAGATCATGAATCATTTTTCTGATTTGTTTGTACTCTTTTTTTTTTGGAGACGGAATCTCTCCCTGTTGCCAGGCTGGAGTATAGTGGCGCAATCTCAGCTCACTGCAACCTCTGACTTCCTGGTTCAAGTGATTCTCCTGCCTCAGCCTCCTGAGTAGCTAGGATTACAGGCATGCGCCACCACGCCCAGCTAATTTTTGTATTTTTAGTATAGATGGGGTTTCACCATGTTGGCCAGGATGGTCTCTATCTCCTGACCTTGTGATCTGCCCGTCTTGGCCTCCCAAAGTGCTGAGATTATAGGCATGAGCCACCGCACCCGGCCTTCTTTGTACTCTTTATCTGTGTTCTCTCATACCTCACTGAGTTTCTTTAATATCATTGTTTTGAATTCTTTTTTATCCATTTCATGGATTGTCTTTTCATTGGGATCTGTTACTGGAGAATTATTGTGTTCCTTTAAAGGTGTCATGTTTCCTTGCTTTTTCATGTTTCCTGTGTTCTTACATTGATATCTGTGTATCTGGTGTAATAGTTGCATCTTCCAGTCTTATGGATTGACTTCCATAAGAAAAGACTTCCCTATAGATGTATCTATGGTGTTGGTAGGGTGGGGTGCTTTGGCTTTGATTCTGGGTGGGTGCAGTGATGTAGTTTTTATATATCTTCAGCTGTAATCAGCATCAGTGGGTATCTATGGGTTCTTTAGTGGCTTAGGCTATAGTTGTTATTGGAGGCTGTGACAAGGCTTTATTGCAAATGGGGATACCAAGTGGGCTGGTCCTTAGGCACCAGTGGTAGTGGTGGCAAGCCAGGTATGCTAGTCCCTGGGCCCCCCAGGTGGTGTACATGGGTTCTGGTGATGGTGGATCTGGGCAGGTCAGTCCTTAGGCCTCCAGTGCCTTGCTCAGGTGCCGGGGGTGGCAGTGGTGGGCCAGGTGAGCCAGTCCCCAGGTAGTGCATGTGGGTGGGTGGTGGCTGCAAGCTGGGTAGACTGGCCATCAGGCTTTTGGGAGACATACATGGACACTGGTGGCAGGCAGGGTAGGCCTATTCCCAGGCTCGCAGACTATGCATGGGTGGCAGACAGGGCAGAACGGTCCTTTAGACCCCAGAAAATGTGCACCAGTGGTGGTGGGCAGGGTGGATCCATCCTATGCCCCTGGGTCATGTGTGTGCTGGCAGTGGTGGTGGTGGGTGGGGTCAGCCTATCCTCAGGCCCCTAGATGGCATACATGGGTGCTAGTGGTGGTGGGGGTTGGAGGCAAGTCAATCCCCAAGCCTCTTAGACACTGTACTCGGTCACTGGCAGCAGTGGCAGGGGTTGGTGTAGGCCTCTTGAGTAGATTTTTAATCCACCCACCAATTTAGTTTATCTCTTCTAAGCAAGTCTCACTCTTATATCTTTATTTTATTACTTTTCGGTTTATAAAAAGCAGAAGAGGAAAGGAAAATTAAAATTGCCTATAATGGAGTCCCCTGTCAGTCATGTACATATAACTCATTAACACTAAATAGTATATGTTGATAATCATTTCAAAAAATGCATCAAAAGCATATACTTACTGTTTGGTAACATGTTTTTGAAACTTAAAATGTATCAAACTTTCTTATATCATTGGGTTTTCTTATAACATGGCTTTTTGTTATTTGCATAGTATTTTCATGTGTATTTTACCATTTACTTAATTCCTTATTGCTAGCAATTTTGGTTGTTTCTAGCTATTCACTACTCAAAAATAACATTATATTCCTCTCTGATTTTTCCCTTGGGATCAATTTCTAGGATTAGAATTGCTAGGTTAAAAAGTATGAGCATTTTTAAGGCTTTCAATAAACTTTACCAAATAGCCCTCCAGAAACATGGTGCCAATTTATGACTCACCGGGAGGGTATGAAGGAACCCAGATTTTCATAGTAAATTACAAAGGTTACTGTATTTTTATTCAAAAGGTAGGCTGAATATTGATTGGTGTAGGTGACCTTACCCTCAGCCATTGTGGTGTTTAAACACAAATGTTGGTTGGGCGCGGTGGCTCACGCCTGTAATCCCAGCACTTTGGGAGGCCCAGGTGGGCGGATCACTTGAGGTCAGGAGTTTGAGACCAGCCTGGCCAACATGGTGAAACCCTGTCTCTACTAAAAATACAAAAATTAGCTGTGCGTGGTGGTGGGCGCCTATAATCCCAGCTACTCAGGAGGCTAAGGCAGGAGAATCGCTTGAACCCAGGAGGCGGAGGTTCCAGTGAGCTGAGGTCGCACCACTGCACTCCAGCCTGGGTGACAGAGTGAGATTTCATCTCAAAAAATAGAAAATAAAAAATAAAATAAATGCAAATGTTGAGTGAATGTGTTCTTTTGACTTCTCTTTCCTTGTAGACTTCCTCTGCTAAATTACCTCGCTGCCGACAGGGAGGCTGGGCAGGTGATTCCGTGAAGGCTTCGAAGTGAGTACCAGCAGCTCATAAGAGTATGGGTGGGGGTGCACACGGTTGGGGGGACTTTGCTCCTGTGTTGTTTTATTTTTTACAATAGCTTTATTGAGAAAAAATTTATATACCATACAATTCACCCACTTAAAATGCACAATTTAATCATTCTTAATATATTCACAGAGTTGTGCAACCATTAACACAATCAATTTTACAACATTTTCATCACCTCCCCACCAAAAGAAACCCTGTATCTATTAGCAGCCACTTCCCATGTCCCCCCAACCTCTCTAGATCTAGGTGGTTACCAGTCAACTTTCTCTCTCTCTGATTTGCATATTCTGGACATTTCATGTAAATACAATCTACATTATGTGGTCCTTTATGGCTGGCTTCTCTCACTTGTCATAATGTTTTCAAAGTTTATCCATGTTGTAGCATTCTGTGTTCTTCTTAATTTCCAAAACATAATGGAATTGCCTGTTGGTAACTGCTGATGAACTGTGCGGCATGTCCTCCCCTGACATATATCAGTCATCATTCATAAAGGGGAACAATACAGATGTCCCATCACCCTGCCTAGTTGGTATCTTGTGTTTACTGTAAGCTGGCATGAATATTTATACCATAACCATCTGACATTATCTCATCAGCCTCTCCAGAGCTCCTGGGAAGGCTGGGAAACCTGATGTCACAGTGCATGTAGCAGCACTTTATAAACTGCATAGTGTTCAGTGTGGGGCTGTAGATGGCAGATGCCATTCTCTCTGAGCTGGATGATGTTGGGTAAGATGTTTACCATGGCTGAGCACCTGGATGGACACATTGATGATCCCTACAGGGTGATTCAAAGACTGAAGGAAATTACATATGTAACAGGAATGTTGCTGTTGTGTTTAGCCCTCCCAGCCTTTCCACAGCTTAGACTAGATGCTGATCCCTGTGGTTCCATATTGAGGGGCGGCAGAGTGTGGTGACAGCCGCAGGTACTGGAGCCAGCTGCCTGGCTTTGAATCCTAACTGTGCCATTTATTATCTCAGAGACCCCAAGCAAGTAATTTAATATCTCTGGTCTCCATTTCTGTATCTCTACAATGGGGTTAAAAATAGTTCTTACTTGAAAGGATCATTGTGAGGATTAAATGAATTCGTATGTGTAAAATATTTAGAAGAGAGATGCATTTAGGAAGCACTTGTAGATGTTGGCTATTATCATGATGATGATGACTGTTTCTTATCCCCATTCTGTCCTCATAGATAGGCTTTGACCATATTCTTCTCACAGGCATTCTGGCAGGTGGTGATGTTTGTGAGTTGCAGGAGCTTTGGGATCTTTATGGTGCCATAAATGCTTCATATGAAGGGTCGGTTTGGGAGAAGTAATTCCAGATCAAGAAAAGCAATGGTTATTTTGATTATGAAGAATCTTCTTTAATTGTGAACTACATTAAAGCCTTAAGCATAGGAATGTCAGCTTTCCAAAGCTGTAGTATCAGAAGTATTTTTTAAACCTTATGATGTTAAGAATTAGCCAGGGGTGTTCAAGAGAGAGAATACAGACACAGATTCTTAGTTTCTGTTTCTGGTTGGGCCAGTAAAACCCCTTCTTCATTCCTCTTTTCTGCTTATCACTAGAGACAGAAACTAAAAACTACGGGTTCAGGCTGCTAAAAGCCTAAAATAAAACAAAGCAGAACAACAACAAAATAAGGCAAGTTGGACAAGTTTGAATTAGACATAATCAATGATTGATATCCCCTTGGATTTCTGCCAGCATCTGGGAATGCACATGACCTAGAACAGAAATCTCTGTGAGATCTTCGGCCATCCAGGATAAGCATCCACATCTCAGGGATGGTTTCAGAATTACCTTGTTTTAAATAAGGAGAAAGTATTCCTCAGACTTCTTCCTACGACATACTCTCTCGCATTTCTTCCATGCTTAAACTGGCAGAATTTTCATGCTAAGGTGTGGTAATTAAGTCATCTCTTGTTTTACTTACAGGAAGCAACATCACAATAAGATTAAAACCATGGGTGTCTGATTCAGACATACCAGGGTTTGAATTCAGATTTCAGCATTTAACTGGCTATGTAAACCTGGGGAAGTTACTTAACCCTGTAAAGTGGCAATAATAACGCCTATTGCAAAGAATTGTTCTGAGTCTTGAACACATAGGAAGAGTACTCAGCATAAAGCTAGTACATAGCTTGTTGCTGCAATTAAGTTATGAATAACAACAGTGCATAAGGAGTAAAGTAATAAGGCAGGTCTCTCTGAGTTTTATGGTTCTAAAACAAAGTGTTAGGTAACACGTGTTCTGTAAATGGCATCTATAGTAGGATGGTGCTGGCTGTCACCTTCAGCCACATTTGTTAGCCTCTGTAGCTGTCAGCACCTTCCAGATGCTTTAAACAGGCTTTGATTATAGTTAGTCTTTGTGATTCTTGAAGTTTGATTCATTGCTTAAATATAGTTATTCTAGGCCAGCCTGACAGAGAATATGATAATAAGACTGAGACATTTTGCTAGCCTTTACCTTTGGTCTCATTTTATGGATGAAATAAGTGGAGTCATAGATGCCTGTAAGTCAGAAGGAGCAAGTGCTTAATGTCTTTTATTTTAGTTCAGAGTCCAGTTCTAAAGACTGGATTACAAATCATTTCATTCCTTAATCTCTTGCACCAAGTCTTAGATGAAAGATAAAAAAAATATATATACCAGTGGGATGGCCAGTGATCGAATTTAACTACTTAAGATATACACAGGAATAGTTTCTCAAAGAATAGTCATTATTCTAGTTTAGAATTTCCTTGAGCAGTTGTTGCCTTCAAAATGGCATATCTTGAAAGATCTCTATGAGGAGAACTACAAAACACTTTTCAAAGAAGTCAGAGATGATACAAACAAATGGAGGAATAGTCCATTTTCATGGACTCAATATTGAGTCCATTCATGAAGACTCAATATTGTTAAAATGACCATACAGGCAAAAGCAACTTATAGATTCAACGCTATTTCTATTAAACTACCATTGACATTCTTCACAGAACTAGAAAAAACTATTTTAAAATTTATATGGAACAAAAAAGGGCCCAAATAGCCAAGGCAATCCTAAGCAAACTAAAACAAAAACAAAAAAACCTGGAGGCATCACACTACCCAACTTCAAACTATACTACAGGGCTACAGTAACCAAAACGGCATGGTACTGGTACAAAAAGAGACACATAGACCAATAGAACAGAATAGAGAACCCAGAAATAAGACCATATACCTGCAACTATCTTCAAACCTGACAAAAACAAGCAATGGGGGAAGGATTCCTTATTCAATAAATGGTGTTGAGATAACTGGCTAGTCATAAGCAGAAGATTGAAACTGGACCCTTTCTTTACACTATGTACAAAAATTAACTCAATATGGATAAAAGACTTAAATGTAAAACCCAAAAATATAAAAACTCTGGAAGACAACCTAGGCAATACCATTCTGGACATAGGATTGGGCAAAGATTTCATGATGAAGACACCAAAAGCAATCGTAACAAAAGCAAAAATTGACAAATGGGATCTAATTAAAGTAAAGCACTTCTGCACAGCAAAGGAAACTGTCAACAGAGTGAGCAGACAACCTAGAGAATGGGAGAAAACTTTTGCAAACTATGCATCTGACAAAAGTGTAGTATCTAGCATCTATAAAGAACTTAAATTTACAAGAAAAAAAAATCCCACTAAAAAATGGGCAAAGGATGAACAAACACTTTGTAAAAGAAAGACATACATGCAGCCAACAAGCTCAACATCACTGATCATTAGAGAAATGCAAATCAAAACCACAATGAGATACCATCTTGCACCAGTCAGAATGGCAGTTATTAAAAAGTCAAAAAATACGGCCAGGTGTGGTGGCTCACGCCTGTAATCCCAGCACTTTGGGAGGCCAAGGTGGGTGAATCACCTGAGGTCGGGAGTTTGAGACCAGCCTGACCGACATGGAGAATCCCCATCTCTACTAAAAATACGAAATTAGTGGGGCATGGTGGCACGTGTCTGTAATCCCAGCTACTCAGGAGACCAAGGCAGTAGAATTGCTTGAACCTGGGAGGCAGAGGTTGCAGTGAGCTGAGATTGTGCCATTGCACTCCAGCCTGGGCAACAAGAGTGAAACTCAAAAAAAAAAAAAAAAAAAGTCAAAAAATAACAGATGCTGGTGAGGTTGCGGAGAAAAAGGAACGATTATACAGTGTTAGCGTGAGTGTAAATTAGTTCAGTCATTGTGGAAGACAGTGTGGTGATTCTTCAAAGACCTAGAGACAGAAATACCATTTCACCCAGCAATCCCATTACTGGGTATATACCCAAAATAATATATCATTTTATTATAAAGATACATGTATGTGTATGTTCATTGCAGCACTATTTGCAATAGCAAAGACATGGAATCAACCTTAATGTTCATCAATGGTAGACTGGGTAAAGAAAATGTTGTACATATACACCATGGAATAGTATGTAGCCAAAAAAAAGAACAAGATCATGTCCTTTGCAGGAACATGGATGGAGCTGCAGGCCACTATCCTTAGCAAACTAATGTAGGAACAGAAAACCAAACACTGTATGTTCTCACTTATAAGTGGAAGCTAAATGATGAGAACCCATGGACACATAGAGGAGAACAACACACATTGGGGCCTTTTGAAAGGTGGAGGGTGGGAGGTCGGAAAGGATCAGGAAAAATAACTACTGGGTACTAGGCTTAATGTCAGGGTGATGAAATAATTTGTACAACAAACCCCTGTGACACAAGTTTACCTGTATAACAAACCTGCACATGTACACCTGAACTTAAAAGTTAAATTAAAAAAAACCAAAATACCATTATTAAAAATATTTACTTCCAATTTTTTCCACCCTCTCCTCCCACTTTTTTCTCCCTCCCCCTTCCCCAACACCCCCCACACACACACTTTTTCCCAAACCTGAAAATAAGTTGTAGATGTCATGACATTTCACCCCTAAATACTTTAGCATGCATCTCTCAAGATTAATGACATTCTCGGCCGGGCGCAGTGGCTCACGCACTTTGGGAGGCCGAGGCGGGTGGATCACGAGGTCAGGAGATCGAGACCATCCTGGCTAACACAGTGAAACCCCGTCTCTACTAAAAATGCAAAAAATTAGCTAGGTGTGGTGGCGGGTGCCTGTAGTCCCAGCTACTCGGGAGGCTGAGGCAGGAGAATGGTGTGAACCCGGGAAGTGGAGCTTGCAGTGAGCCGAGATTGTGCCACTGCGCTCCAGCCTGGGCAACAGAGTGAGACTGTCTCAAAAAAAAAAAAAAAAAAGATTCATGACATTCTCTACAGTATCACAGTATCACTCAGTCACTCATACCTAAGACATTTCATAGTGGTTTAATAATATTTAATATATAGTTTATATTTGAATATTCCCCTTTGTTGTTCCCCCAGATGTCTTTTATAACTCCAGGATCCAATCAGCTCAAATATTGTGTTTCGTAGTTGTCTTTTTAGTCTCTCTTGATGTAAACTAGTCCTCACCTTTCCCCATTCCCCACCAAGACATTGACTATTTTGAGGAATCCAGGCCAGTTGTGTTGTAGAATGTCTCACATTCTGGGTTTCTCTAACTGATTCTTCATGATAAGATTCAAGTTAAAGGTTGTTGACCAGAACAGGTGATCATGTGTCCTTAGCTTATCAAATTAGGAGGCATGTGACATCAGCTGATCCCTTGGTTGGCATTACAAAGTTTTATCACTTGGTCTAGGTGGTGACCACTAGATCTCTCCATTGCAAAGGTTCTTTTTTTCCTTTATAAATAATTAGTAATTGGGGTACCGCTTTGAATCCTGTTCACCCACAGTCTTTCACCTGGTTTTAGCGTCCATTAATGGATCCTTGCCTGAATCAGTTATTATATCAGGGATTGCAAAATTTTAACTCTCTAATTCTACCATTCTATATTAATTGCTTGGAGTTTTCCTATAAAGAAGAATTTACTCTCTCTCCTTTTTCTTTTTCTATTGCTTTCTGTCTTTAAAATCATGGACTCATGGATTTTAAAAAAATCTGTTTTATTTTAGATTCAGGAGATATATGCGCAGGTTTGTTACAGGGGTATGTTGCATGATGCTGAGGTTTGAGCTTCTATTGATCCTGTCACTCAGACAGTGAGCACAGTACCCAATAGGAAGCTTTTCAGTCCTCGCCCGCAACCCCTTTTGGAGTCCCCATTGTCTGTTGTTCCCTCCTCTATGTCTATATGTGCCCAGGATTTAGCTCCTACTTATAAGTGAGACCTCTAATATTTGGTTTTCTGTTTCTGCATTTGTTTGCTTAGGATAATGGCCTCCAGCTATATCCATATTGCTGCAAAGGATTTGATTTCATTCTTTTAAATGGTTGCATAGTATTCTATGGTATATATATATATCACATTTTCTTCATCCAGTCCACCATTGATGGACACCTAGTTTGATTCCATGTCTTTCCTCTTGTGAACAGTGCTACAATGAATATACGTTTGCAAGTGTCTTTTTGATAGAATGATTTATTTTCCTTTGGGTATGTATATACCACCCAGTGATGGGATTGCCGGGTCAAATGGTAGTTCTATTTTCAGTTCTTTGAGAAATCTCCAAACTGCTTTCCACAGTGGCTAAACTAATTTACATTCCCACCAACAGTGTGTAAGCATTCCTTTTTTTCAGAAGCCTCACCAACATCTGTTATTTTTTGACTTTTTAACAATAGCCATTCTGACAGGTATGAGATGGTATCTCATTGTGGCTTCAATTTGCATTTCTCTGATAGTGATGTTAAGCATTTATTCATATGTTTGTTGGCTGCTTGTATGTCTTCTTTTGAGAAGTGTCTGTTCATGGCCTTTGCCCACTTTTTAATGGGGTTATTTTTTTCTTGTTGATTTGTTTAACTTCCTTATAGATTTTGGATATTAGTCCTTTGTCAGATGCATAGTTTGCAAAAATTTTCTCCCATTCTTAGGTTATTTGTTTACCCTGTTGATAGTTTCTCTTGCTGTGCAGAAGCTTGTTAATTTAATTAGATCCCACTTGTCAATTTTTCCTTTTGTCACAGTTGCTTTTGAGGACTTGGTTATAAATTCTTTGCCAAAGCTGACATCCAGAAGGATATTTCCTAGGCTTTCTTCTAGGATTTTTATAGTTCGAGATCTTACATTTAAGTCGTTGATCCATCTTGAGTTAATTTTTCTTATATAGTGATAGGAAGGGGTCCAGTTTCATTCTTTTACATATGGTTAGCTAGTTTTCCCAGCACCATTTATTGAATAGGATGTCCTTTCCCTGTTGCTTATTTTTGTTGACTTTGCCACAGATTGGTTGGTTGAAGGTATGCTGTTCTAGTTCTAGATATTCTGTTCTGTTCCATTGGCCTCTGTGCCTATTTTTGTACTTTTTTTATTTTTATTTTTATTTTATTTTATTTTATTTTATTTTATTTTATTTTATTTTATTTGAGACAGGATCTTTCTCTGTTGCCCAGGCTGGAGTGCAGTGGTGCAATCATAGTTCACTGTAACCCAGACTCCTGGGCTCAAGTGATTCTCCTGCTTCAGCCTCCCCAGTAGCTAGGACTGCAGGCATGCACCACAATGCCTGGCTAATTTTTTTAAATTCTTATTTTTGTAGAGCTGTGGTCTCACTGTGTTGCTGAGGCTGGTCTCAAACTCCTGGCAATCGTCCTACTTTGGCCTCCCCAAGTGCTGAGATTATAGCCATGAACTATTGCACCCAGCTGGACTCATGGATTTGTATTGTTCATTGTGTTATAATTCATTTCCATCATCACAGTTTTTTTTTCTATAATACTAATGATTATTAGTG
This sequence comes from Homo sapiens, assembly GCF_000001405.40. NCBI lineage: Eukaryota > Metazoa > Chordata > Mammalia > Primates > Hominidae > Homo > Homo sapiens. Next base: position 76,030,268 of record NC_000014.9, read on the forward strand.
CTCAGATTGTCCCATGTTTGGCCAGGGAGAACTTTGAGATGGCTCTTATGCTTTTGTGCTTTATTAGTATTAGAGTACGTGCTTGCTTTTCAACGCAGCAAGATATTCCAGAATAAATTTGTATTTTCCATGTTTAGTCCAGGAGTCAGCTACTTCTCCAAGGACTCCTGGGTCCTTTTGGTGGAGAATAGTTATAGAATTCACGGTCTATATACACACTGCCCATTGCTATTGGATATCTTTGCTTCTAGGCTCTTTTAGTAGGTAGAACTAGGAAACACATTTTAAAAAATACGCTCTATCCTGTAACACACATAAAGTAGTTTTACAGTTACTATACTAATGTCATTATCAAAAACAAACTTCCTAAGTAAAACTCAAGATTTCTTTGTGGTTCTTTTTGTCCTTAGAATATATCACACTAAGGTTCAGGATACTGTTTTCGGAAGTTATTTGAATTATTTCTCATACAGGTTAAGATATCAATTTAATACACAATTACATTCACTTGTTTCTGTCTGTGTTCAATTTTAAGGTTTTTAAAAATCCTTTTTATTCAATTTACTTTTGAATATGTAGAACATTTACACCAATCAATAGTTAAAATTGTATAGAAAGATGTATTCAGTGATGTCTCACTCCCATCCTTATCATCCTCTCCACCTCATTCCCGTCCATCCCATATAGGCAGTTTCTTTATTAGTTTCTGGTTTATCTTTCCTATACTTCTTTTTGGAAAAGTAAACATATGTGTATATATATATAATTATATATACATACATAAAAATTATATAATTTATATAATATACATATATAAATTATATATGTATATATAAGTTTTTATATTTCTCCTCCTTTGTTTCTATATCCTAGGTGTCAGTGAACTATGGCCCACAGGCCAGCTGCCTATTTTTATAAAGTTTTATTGGAATACAGCCACACCCTTTCATTTTAAAAATTGAGATTGCTGATCCACGTGGAATTTATTTTGGTGTATGGTTTTACTTTTTTCTAAATGGCTATTGTCCCAGCACCACTTATTTAAAAATCCATCTTTCTCTAGTGATTTGAGAAGCCACCTTTATCGTATTCTAAATCTTTGTACTTACCCGAGTCTGCTTTTGGATGCGTTATTCTGTGCCAGTGGTGTCTCTATTCCTAGGCTATTATGTAGCATGCTGTTTTACTTATAGACCATAACAATCATTTTTAGTGTTAAGCGAAAACAAGAAGGTGACGCAGAAATGCAGGTCTCATCTACTAATGTGAATCTTATGGAGGAGCTTTGTTTTCCTAAATTATTAGGGGATTTTAGTACTTGTCATATCTGGAATTTATTTTGAAATAAGAAAATAAGACAAATCCTGTCTGCTTCTTAGAGAACAAAAGATTATCACAAGTATTCATTCCTCAGTGAAAATATTAAAGATTTTTCCAGATCAAATCCATTTCCTCTTGGAGAAAGAAGCTTTTCCTTGTCACCTGTTACTTTCTGAGGTATTCACTTGCTTGGCTTTTCAGTCTGTGGCCTGGTTCTGACCCCTCGAAATGTTGGAGTGCCCAGGGCTCTTCCTCTAACCTTCTCTCTTCTCTGTCAACACTCACTTTCTGCATGATCTCAACCCAGTCTCAGGTTTGACTATCGTCTACGCAGTGATGACTCCAGAATTTATGTTTATATTTCCAGCCCAGTTCTCCTCCTGGACAGCCATTTGCCTGCTTGATGTTTTCAACTGGAATATGCAACACAAACCTGACACATCCAAATTAGTCTTCTAATTTCAACCCCTTCTACCCCCTCCCCTAATCGTGCCTCCAAAGTCATCCCTAGATCTCGGTAAGTGGTGACTCTTATCTTCCTAATTGCTCAGATTGTAAACTTTGGAATTATCCTGGCCTCCTCTCTTTATATCACCCTATTCAGTCTGCCAGCAAACCCTGTTAGGTCTACTGTTGAAATACATCTGTTGTCTGAACTGCCAGCACCTGGCTGCAGCCACCATCATTTCTTGCACTGGCTCAAGTGAGAACTTCCTGACGAGGCTCCCTCTGTGTTATCTCTGCATAACCAGAGTGACTCTTTTAAAACATCAGTGCAAACCTTTTACTTGTATACTCAGAACCCTGCAGTAGCATGCCAACCAGTCAAAGTAAAACCCAAAGTCCTTACCATGGCTTACAAGGTCCTACCTTACCTCACTTTACATAAAGTAGCACCCCTCATCGCTCTGTGGTCCCCATTGCCTGCTTTATTTACTGCCACCTGACATATCCACATGCATGCATACATATTCTCTTTTTCTATCTGCTGCAATGTAAGCTCTATGAGAGGAGACACACTCTCTTATTTACATACCCCCAGTCTCCTGCACAGTGCCTAGTCCATAATAAGCACTCGGTGACTATTTATTGAACATATGAATGATCAGATCAGTATTTTTAAACGGTCACTTTACTTTCGGTGTGGAAGGTGGAGAGCTGAAAGGCTGGAAGACCTGTTGGGATAAGAGCCTAAACCAGGGCCATGTTGTGAGGATGGAAAGGAAAGATGATGTGGAGACATTTTGGAGGTAGAGTTAATAGAAATACCAGTGGTTGGATGTGCGGCAGAGGGAGGAGTTGAAGGTCACTGCAAGGAGCCCCACTTAGGTGTCTGGTTGGGTCATGGTGCTATAAGAGAGGGAAGGCAGGAGGGACCTGATTTAGGAGCTGATGGTGGGACATGTGGGTAATTTCCATAGCTCAAGAGTCTAAAAGTGAGGTCAAAAAAGAGATGCACTTTGAGTCATCTACAAAAGTAGGAGAAGACAAGGACAGATCATTGGATTTGGCTATTTGGAGGTTACAAGGGGCCTTTGAGAAAGTGGTTACAGTCATTTGCATTGGAGCCCCAGCCAGATTGCAGTAGACTGAAGAGGAAGTGGGACATGAGGAAGTGGCCAGTAATATAGGATACTATGAAAAAAGGAAAGGGATGGAACAGTATTTGGAAGAAGAGTCTAGATTAAGAATCATGTCTGCAATATTCGAGGAAAGAGTAATTAGAAATGAAGTAGGGGGTTAACTGATGTAGCAGGATACTGGAGGGATAGAATAAGACCTTCCAGGAGAGATTGATTGACCTTGGACAGGAGGAAGTAGGGCGGATAGTTTTCCTCCAAAACAGACGGAGCTTGGAAAGGCTGGGTAAGTTATTGAGGAGGGTTGAGGGGAATGGGGACTTTAGAGAATTTCCTTTTGGTTTGGCTTCTTTTTTTTTCCATTCTTCAAAGTGGGAAGACAGACTGACTGTTGAGATTGTTGAGGCAAAGGAGAGTGGCATCTTGAAGTCAAGTAGAGCAGATTTAAAACAGAAAAAGAGGCTGATGAGGGGTAAGAGAGGCAACTTTCGAGCTTTGAGGACCTACCTCATTAAGGTTGGAAACATGAGCTCCTACCATTTGCTGGATACTCTAGTGAGTACCAGAGTGGAAGATATACTTCCTGTCCCGCAAGAGCTCAAATTCTAATTTAGGAGACATTTTCATCCACAAAAATCAGGAATGGCAAAAGGAGCATATTGGCAGAAGGTGCACATAGTAAGTGAGGAACAAATGAATGAGTAACACTGGTGATGGGATATCAGAAGAGAGAGTAATCATTATGGTCAGGGAGTGTCTTATAGCGGAGATAGGAGTCAAGCTGGATGAATTTTGATGGTCAGAACAGGATCATGAAGAAGGCATTTTGGTTTAAGATCTGGTGTTGTGAGAGTGATAGTAACTTTATTGTCAGTCTAGTTACAGCAGAGAATTGACCCCGGAAAATAGCGTATTCACCTTAAATTCTTTTTGGGTGATAATAACAATGGCATTGTGCTAGATACTTGTCTTAATTTGGCTGCTATAACAAGTTACCGTATATGGGGAGGTTTAAACAACAAACCTTTATTTCTCATGATTCTGGAGGCTGGAAATCTGAGATCAGGGTGCCATTGTGGTTGGGTTCTTGGTGAGGACCATTTTCCTAGTTACGTCCTTAAGTGTCTTTTCTTGGTATGTGCATGTAAGGAGTGAGATTTTATGTCTCTTCCTTGTCCCCATCATGAGGGCTCCACCCTCATAATCTCATCTAAACCTAATCAGCTCTGAAAGTCCCACCTCCAACCACCATCCCATTGGGGATTAGGATTTCAACATAAGAATTTTGGGGAGACACAAATATTCAGTCCGTAGCAGCACCTTATATGTGCATTACACCAACTCTGTTGGGTAGATTCTGTTCAATAAGCTAGGTATCCCTGTGCAAAGAAGGTAGGAGGAAAGTGTCACCAGTGAGAAGTAGAAGGGCTGTTTATGAATCTGATTGAGGAGCTCATAGCTAAGGAATATGAGTTTCTGGGATACCTTGGCTTTATTTGCATAACACTGCCCAGGATAGAGAACAGAACATGTGTCAGCCACCTCACTGGCTAGATATGTTGGGTGCCAGGGCTCCATTGCTCATCCTTGAGCCACAGAAAGGGCCAAGTTCAGGAATTGCCTGGGGCCTGGGATCACTACCAGTCCCTTCCCCTTGGCGTCAGAGTCATAGCTATGCCAGAGATTCCATCTTGGAGCTGTCCTTGGCTCTGAAGTTGCCCGAGGTAGGACACTTATGGTGGGTCACTGACTTCGCCATGGGGAATAGAGCTGAAGAGAGAAAGCCAACTTGGTAAAGAGAGGAAGGAAAGGTAGTTTGATTAAGTTTTGTCTCAAAGTGTCTGTTTTTGGGTTTGTCCCTGCATTGATCTGCAAGGGAATGAGGCAAGTAATGGCCCCTCAGGGACTTTCAGGACTTTGCTCTCAATGTCAGCCGTCATTTTCAATCACCCTCTCCCTCCCAGCCATTAATTTTGGCCCAGGATCATGGGGACTTGTCCATCTATCACTCCTAATTGACACTAAATGATCTGTCAGTTTATTGATGAACGGCAGGAGTGGAATTGTCACAATATATTTTACTTTCTAACAACTCCTCCTGACAATTTTACCTTGTCCATCTCACTCTCCTCACATAAATCTCCATTGGCTGCTCATTCCTTCTCATGGGCTGTTCTGGTGCCAGCCACTTCCACACCATCTGCACGCATCAAGGACATTAAGATGGCGGTAGAACTGCTGTGTGCTGGTCCCGAGGTTATCCCCCTTCCCTCCTCCTTCTCTCTTTCTCTCTCTCTCTTTTTTAATGGCATTGATGTTCCAAGGATACTAAAGGGCTTCTGTCCTCTCCCTTTATGTCATTGCCATACCAGAATCTTTTTGCTTCCCTTTAGCAGCAAGTAGTTGATTCCTATTAGGCTAAAAAGTGTGAAAAGCAAAAACTCATGGAGCCAGAGGGCTCCTAGATCTGTAAGCACAGTTGCAAACATACGTTCTGTCCTTTTAAACCGGCTCTGTTATAGGCTGTCCATCCCCATAGAAGTCAATTTCCCAGAAAGGTGTCACAGAGGGAAGGTTAGCTGGAGCTGCCCAGCTGGTGTGCCATGTGCTGCACTGTGGGTGCCAGTGTGCCATGATGTGGGCACACCCTGCCTGTGGGGTAGACCTAGCCAAGGCCCCTAGGCTGGTCACCTGTGGCCATGAGAAGTCTCATCTGTCCACCCATTTGTGTGTTATTTTTAATTGCTTCATGTCTTGAAAAAGACAGGGAAGTACTATGTCAGACATATATAAGGGCACACAGTTATTTAGTCTCAAGAAGATATACCTATGGATGTGAACACGCTTTATCCTATATGAGGCCAAGGATGAGTAGAAAAGCTTGACGATATATAAATAATAAATAATGCAATTGATTCCCTTCCTCATACCTTTCCTGCTGCTGCTGGAGATAATTTTTATTAATTGATAAGGACTGTTTTTGTTTGTTAACCATCATGACATTAGGATGCATATCAAAATTAATAATTCCTTAATGTCATCTGATATCCAGGTCATATTGAGTTACTTCCATTGTCTCAAAAATGTGTTTTATAGGTGGATTGTAAACAGAACAAATCAAGGTCCATATATTGTATTTAGCCATTTCCTTCCTTCCTTCCTTCCTTCTTTCCTTCCTTCCTTTTTTTTGTTTGTTTGTTCGTTCGTTTGTTCTTTTGTTCTTTCGTTCTTTCTGTCTTTCTTTTTTTTTTTTTTTTTGGTGGAGTCTCACTCTCTTGCCCAGCCTATAATGCAGTGGTGTGATCTCGGCTCACTGAGTCTCCGCCACCCAGGTTCAAGCAATTCTCCCACCTCAGCCTCCCAAGTAGCTGAAACTACAGGCGCGCGCCACCACACCTGGCTTATTTTTGTATTTTTAGTAGAGACAAGGTTTTGCCATGCTGGCCAAGCTGGTCTTGAACTCCTGACCTCAGGTGATCCTCCTGTCTCGGCCTCCCAAAGTGCTGGGATTACAGGCGTGAGCCACCATGCCTGGCCTAGTTGTTATATTTCTATAGTCTCTATTTTATTCTGCAACAATCACCACCCCCCTATGTTTTCCCAATGCCATTGATCTTCTCTTCCTCCCTCCCTTCCTTCCTTCCCTCCCTCTGTCCCTCCCTCCCTCCTTCTTTTTTAGAAACAGGATCTTGCTCTGTTGCTCAGGCTAGAGTGCAGTGGCACGATCATAGCTCACTGCAACCTTGAACTCCTAGGCTCAAGTGATACTCCTGCCCCAGCCTCCCGATTAGCTAGGACAGGTGCACGCCACCATGCCTGGCTAAATGTTTAAAAATTTTTTGGAGAGACAAGGTCTTGCTGTGTTGCCCAGGTGGCCATGATGATTTCCTTTTTTAAAGAAACTTGTCCTGTAGAATTTCCCACATTCTGGATGTGGTCTGTTGCTTCCTAGTCATGGTGTTTAACTTGTTTCTCTGTCCCTCATATTCCCTGTTAAACTGATAGTTAGGTGTAGCTCTAACTGGGAGTTCCATTTAGGCCCAGTTTTGGCAGGAATACTTTGTAGGTGATGCCGTGTACATCCCACTGTATTGCCTTGAAGGCACAGGTATGAGAAGGCACAGGTGTCCGGTCATTCCACTTTCAGCCTGTGATTGACCAGTGGGGGCAGGGCTGTGTGAGTCTCCACTTTATAGCGCCCATCAGACTCCCCTCTCATGGTTGTAGCATCCATTGCTCATAGTTGCTAGAGCCATGATTTCATTAAAGGTTGTCAAGTGATGACTGTCTAATTTCCATTTATTAACAGAAATTCTTCTGTAATGAACTCTTACCAGCTACTTGGCTGCTTGAAATACATTTTATACTTGTAACCCTACCTTTTTCTCTTAGTATTTTTATTTTAAAAAATTTCAAACCTATAGAAAAGTTGCAGTATTAGTACAGCAAACACCCATGCACACTTTTACCTTGAACAACCAGTTGTTAATATTTGCCTAAATGTGGCTTTTCCCTCATTCTCTGTTTTTTTTTTTTTAATTTTATTGAACTGATTAAGAGCTGCAGCTGCCTTTGCCTTTGCATTACTATTAATAGTAACAAGCGAGTGGTTACTATGCAAGAGATATTTGTCTATTTTGTTTGCATCTGGGTCTGTAGGGCTTGGAACACATAGGTGCTCCATACATATTTGATCAATGAGTAAATTTGGGGCATTTCTTACAGAGCTCTAATAATTGAAAAGGGTGTCCCTGGTAGGACGAGGCAGCTCTGATTTCCAGTAAAGTAAAAGGACTTAATCCTTGACCTTCAGATTTTCATTGGTAAACACAATTTTGCTCATTTGGTTTTCAAGAAACACAAAACAAAATTAGAAGTATTGAGAATTGATTTTTCCCTTGCTACCCTTAGCCGCAAAGAACCCGGAATCAGTATGGCATGACCGGAGTCCTGGGCAACGTGGGTTCTTAACTGTCAGTCAGGTACCAGAAATGAGTGTCCAATATTGGGTAAAATCAGATGGGGCTGTTGCATGTGAGATGGTTGAGAAGGGAAGGTCTTAGGAAGCTAATTGTGCTCGCATTTCCAGTGGCTGTGCCTAGAGTTTAGAGGCTATGTCTCTATTTCTGTGGTTTTTGGAGATGCTCGTGTGAACTCTCTGCTTGGATCTCTGTCTCAATTTCACCGTCATGCATTTTGCCCTGCATAGATGCTTTTCTTTCACGTGCCTTCCAAGATATGGTCAGTTTAGAAAGGATGGCTTTAGGACCATGTGACATCATATCTTTTTAATGTACATCTTAGATTTGTTTATTCTAGGTAGGCTCCCCAAAGTGTAATTTTTTGCTTTGCTCTCAGAGCCTGGACAGAAAGATGATAGAGGAAGAGCTAGATAAGTTTTTATTTTCATGAACTTAGAGAATCCACAGTTATTTTGAAAAATTGGGATTCAGTTGCATTGTTTATTATAGGAAATCATAGATGTTCAGCAAGATTTGAAGATGAATAGCCCCCCAGACTGTGTACATCGAAATAACTAGGGAAAAATAATTATCCCCATTGAAGTAGGGAAAAGTGTGAGATGTGTCACACTCATGCTATCTTTAGTCCTTTCCTATCTTCACACATTTGTATTATTTTGGTAGATTTCATTTGTTCTGGTAGCTGGCGGGTGGGGAGGAATGAGAATAATGGATGGGTCATGGTGGAACAGCTCATCTGTGGAGCCTGTTCCCTGTTAAACTGATAGTTAGACCTCGCTCTAACTGGTGGTCGCATTTGGGCCTGGTGTCCTTTCCTACTTAGCCCCTGAAATGTGTACAGTGAGGTGGGTACTTCCTGAAAGTCACTGTTCATGGGCACAGATGTAAAAGTAAGCATTTGTTCATTCTGTGGACCCTTGTCCAGCACAGGCACGCAGGTCTAATGTTAGACACAACCCCTTTTTGTAATGGTATGTTGCATTTTTTTTTTTTTCTTTTTTTAGACAGGGTCTCATTCTGTTGCCCAGGTTGGAGGGTGGGGATGTGATCATAGTTCACTGTAATCTCAAACTCCTGAGCTCAAGCTGTCCTCCGGCCTCAGCCTCCTCAGTAGCTGGGACTACAGGTACTCCTGCGTAGTTGAGACTACAGGCGTGTGCCACCATACTCGCCACGTTTTTAAATTTTTTGTAGAGATGAAGTCTTGCTATGTCACTGAGGCTGGTTTTGAATTCCTGATCTCACGCAATCCTCCTGCCTTGGTCTCCCAAAAGTGCTGGGATTACAGGTGTGAATCATTGTGCCTGGCCTGCCTTTTTGTGGAGTGAAGTGTCTTTGACCTTAAAGCTCAAATGTAACTAAGTTGAGAAAGGTGGATCATTTCAAGAGGGCTGGAAGAGAGAAAGGGAGTGGGATGTGGAGACAGTATACATTTTTAGATTTTAGTCTTTGTATAACATCGTGTCTTCTTTTGAGACATTAGAACTACTGGTGAATTTTATTTATTTATTTTTAAATAAAAAAGAAACATAGTATAGAATTCAAAAGATATGAAAGAGTGGGATATGAAACCTGAGTCTCTCTCTCCCTTCCTGACTTTCTCAGGCACCCAGTTTCCTCTCCTGGAGGCAACCACTTTTAACCAGTTTTTTTCGTGTTTCTCTCCAAAGGTACTCTATGCAGGTTAATATATTCTCCTCACCCACCTACAGACACAAATGGGAACATATGCATTCTGCACTTTTAAAAAAATCTCTAACAATATTTCTTGCTGATCTTTCTGAATCTCAGTACAGAGTAGAAGAGCTTCTTTTCTTTTTTACAAAAGGGTCTCACTCTGTCACCCAGGCTGGAGTGAGGTGGCGTGATCATGGGTCACTGCAGCCTTGACCTCCCAGCCTCAAGCAATCCTCCCATCTCAGCCTCTTGAGTAGCTGGGACTGCAGGTGTGTGTCACCACACCCAGCTAATTTTTTATTTTTTTTTGTGGAGACAGGGTCTCACTATGTTGCCCAGGCTGGTTTTGAACTCCTGGGCTCAAGCCAGTACTTTGGCCTCTCAAAGTACTGGGATTACAGGTGTGAGTCACTGTGCCTGGCTGAACAGCCTTATTTTTAAGGGCTACAGAGTACTCCAAAATTTCCTGTCTCAGTAAAAGTAATGATAGGCAGGCAATACATGTGATATTTTCCCAGACTGAAAAAACCAGACTTCTATTGTGTATTCATGTGATAGTATAACATCACCCTTGGAAAGTATTGTGAAGGCTTTAGATATGGTACACATAGATCCCATAGGCTAGGGAAGAGGTATGAAGGTGCATCAGCCTTTTTCTCATTGAGGATTTGGGTGAGCACTTTCATGCACTTCTACTTGGGTTGATATAGTGACATTTGGTGCAGAGCAAGCAGAGATGTTCTAGGTTATGTTCATTGCAGTTTAAGGCCTCGGATGGCTAGTGACCAGTGTCACACAGCCCATTTACTTAGGCAAATGACTAAGCATGAAATCTCTGGACTCTTGCACTTCTGTTGAGTGCTTCCCATTCAAAGGGGACAGCAGTGTGTCCCCACAAGCCCTGCTGCAGCAGCATTTGGATACTTTGCTTCCCACTCTGAAAAGCGGAGCAGTCCTCCTGACAAGTGACCCCAGTCAGTTCTCTCCCTGGAGCAGAGGGGAGCACCCGATCCCCTAGGGAGGTGGCTGGAGAACAGGTGGGGACTCGAGATGAACTTGCTGCCTGTGCATGTGTGCCAGGGAAAGGACAGCTGAGACCCTGAGGCCACACATTGTCCAATTGCTGTACCTCTAAGGGCCCAAGTCAGCAGAACTGTTTCCCAACTGCCTGTGGGCTGGCCTTGCAGGGAAGGCTGTCAAAAGATGGCCAAGTGCAGGCACAAGCCTTACCTCCCTGAGAGCCTGCTCCCACCTTCCTCTCTGGCCTTCAGCTTTTCTTAAGTGAAGCTACCCTTGACCTTTGTTGTAATTAAAACCAAGAGTGGTTCTAGAATGGGTTCTCAGGATGTCCTGTGAAGGCTTTGACTTTTGGCCCTTTACAGTTCTAGTTTTGCAGAAATGAAAATGCTCTGGTGACTACAGCAGGTCAATTATTGGAGCCAAGAGTAGTATTGTAAAGTTGGAGGGTCTTAGAAGGTCAGGAAAGAAATGAGTGGCCCATGGAAGTGTCCCTTAAATGATAACAGCCAAAAGCACAGCCACCTATGGAATATTCCTTTGTTTTTCTGGACTGGTAGAAAGTGCAGGGCTTGCAAGAGTAGAAAGTTAGAGCCAGTCTCATCCAATGTCCTGTGAAATTCTAGTGTTTCTGTTAAGTGCTTGCCAGGGTCTTCTTGAACCCCTCCAGCTGGGGAACTTGGTAGAAACAGCCCCACTGATTCTGTTTTTTAATAAAGTCCTTTTTAGTTGTACAAGCAAACTGGTAGCTCTTTAATGACGTAAAAATTCAAACAAGACAGATAAAGCTAAATATGCCTAAAACTACTATTTACTCTGATCCTAGCCATCTCTCTAGAAGTAATTACTGGAATAGTTTGTTGGTATCTTTTACCCACTTCAATACGTGTATGTACAAAAGTCTGTGTTTTTTTTTTATGTAAACAGATCACATTAAGTGCCTTCTGCATCTTACATTCTTTTTTATCTTTGCAGTAAGTACATCCTAGAGATGTTTTAGTACACGTAGATTTACTGCAGTTTTCTTACTGCTCCATGATAATCCCGTGGTACAGATGCACTATTCCCCTGTTGGTGGACATTTAGGTTCTTTCTTTCTATTTTTGCCATTATCTGTCCCCTGAGTTTTTTTAGACAGCTCTAGACTTTAGGAAATTTGCACCTTCATCCTCAGAAACAGATTCTGGCTTCCACGAAAGTGCTGCAGAACCCATTTGTGGAGAGCCCACGTGTCTTGTCCAGTCCTTGTGTTGTATGGACGAGGACACACACACACACACACACGTACACACATTATTTATTGTGACTTCTTTTGCTGGCCACTGTGCTAAACACAGTTATCTTTTTCCTCAAAACAACCCTATGAAGTAGGTGCTGTTATTATCCCTGCTTGCAGATGAGGAAACTGAAGAGTAAAAAAAAAAAAAAAAGTTAAGTAACTTGCTCAGAGTCATACAGCTAGTGAGTAGCCAGCCAGAATTTGGACCCACGTAAGTCTGATCCTAGGGATCATGGTCTTATTCTCAGTGCTTTGCTGCCTTCTGTTTTTATGCCCCTTGACACCTGATACAGCATCTTTGCCCGTGGTAGAACCTCAGCAGATATTCCCTGAGGGCTCTTTTGACAAGAAACCAACATGTTCAGCTTGTGAGAATAATAGCAAGGAGTGCATGCATGACCTAAGCCCTTCCTAGCATCCTTTGGCCTCGCTCTCTGCAGAGTTGTGCTCCAGCCAGCTGCCTGACCCACCAGAAGAAGGTGAGTGCAGAGGATGCAGCCTGTGCTTAGGGGTACTGGCCAAGGCCCTGCCAGCCCTGCCATTAAAAGGCTTAATTAGGCTAGTCATTAAGTTCAATTACGCATTGGAAATGATTGTCCCTTCTAACCCTGCAGTGCCCTCCAAGAACTGGATCCATTCCCAGGCAGCCCGCTCAGGAGCCAGGTTCTAGTTACAGGTGCACCTGTAAAACTGCTTCTGGTTTCGGGGCCTGTGATGCCATGGCAGACTAGGGCAGAGTAGCCCAGAGCGAGGCACTCCAAGTACATGTTAAATCGGGTTAGGTTTCTGCCTTTGAGGCCATTTCCTAAGTGCCACCTTCTCTTATTGGGCCACCTTTTCCCCAAGTGTCATTAGGAGTCAGGACATCTGCCTGTGCAGTGGGCACAGAGCAGAGCCCTGGGCTGGGATGAGAGGAAGAGAGGTGTAGTGTAGCAGCCCCATGCAGCCAGCTCAGTGCCCTTGGCCTCTGTCTCTTCAGCCTTACACACAAGGGGTCTCAAAGGCCCTCTCCAACTCCAAAAGGATGTGTGAACATCTGAAACATACTTTCTAGATGGCTTGCTTGAAACGAGTCCTTTTAGTTTCTGAGTTATTATATTACCTTGAAGCAAAACAGTTGACAAGCATTGAGGAAGGGCCGGGGCCAGGTGAGTAGAGGCATGAATGAACCACCACAGGGTTTAGGATGAGCACACCAGGCTTTGCAGAGGGGAGTAGAAGGGTAGGTGGGCAAGGTAGAGAAGAGCTCGTGTGCAGGGCCTGGAACTCCAGGCAGGCCCTCCTTTTTTAGGAAATAGGAGCCACTGCAGTGTTGACAGGTGCATGACTGGTGGTGCAAGGTATCACGATTTTTTTTTTTTTGAGACGGAGTCTCGCTCTGTCGCCCAGGCTGGAGTGCAGTGGTGCGATCTTGGCTCACTGCAGCCACTGCCTCCCGCACTTCTGAATGCCTTTTTGACATGGGACAACCTTGGGGTACTTGCAGATGTAAAAAGAAATCTGTTTCTCCCAATGTAGAGTCCTCTTGGCACAATGTGGAAACTGTTTTCTCCTACTATACCCTCAGTGCTCCACCTCTGACACCAGATGTATAGAAGTTTTTCTCCATACACTATAGCCAGTTCTGCAGTGGACACTAGCTGGCTGTTCTACAGTTTTACTCAATTCTGACGCTATCTGCCTGGAGTTAACATCAGATCTCACAGGTTCAGAGCTGAGTCCCACAAGACTGTCCCACATTTCCAGTGCCAGTTGCAAGCCCTGGGTTGTTTTACCTGTGCTTCTGAACCACTGGCTGTAAATCTAGTGTTCCTATGACCCCCTTTCCAGCTTGATTAATTTGCTAGAGTAGCTCACAACTCAGGGAAACAAACACTTTACTTACTATCACCAATTTATTACAAAGCATATGTTATTTCTCTTTTTTTTTTGGTTTTTTTTTTTTGAAACAGAGTCTTACTCAGTCGCCCAGGCTGGAATGCAGTGGTGCTATCTCGGCTCACTGTAACCTCCACCTTCCGCCCTATGTGCCTCAGCCTCTTGAGTAGCTGGGATTACAGGCATGTACCACCACGCCCAGCTAATTGTTGTATTTTTAATAAAGACCCAGTTTCACTATGTTGACCAGGCTGGTCTCGAACTCCTGGCCTCAAGTGATCCGCCTGCCTCAGCCTCCCAAAGTGTCGGGATTACAGGCGTGAGCCACCATGCCAGGCCACAAAGCATATTTTAAAGGATGCAAATGAAGAGCTATATAGGGCAAGGTTTGGAAGAGACCCAATTGTAGGAGCTTCTGTTCCCATGGAGTTGAAGTGTGCCACCCTCCCATCACCTGAATACATTCTTGCTCTCCAGCCCAGAAACTCTCAGAACCTAGTCGTTTTGGGTGTTTATGGAAGCATCATTATGTATGCACAATTGATTAAATCATTGGTCATTGGTGATCAGATCAACCTTCAGCCCATCTCCTCTCCTGAGGTCAGGGAGTAGGTTCCCCTGGTACCAGCCTCCATCCTGAGACCATCCAGGAGTCCCCCCATTCATCTATCTCCCATCAGTCATTCATTAGCATACAAAAAGACATAACACATTGGAGATTCCAAGGGTTTTAGGAGCTATGTGCCAGGAAACCAAATATTTACAGTTGGCCTTTAGAACTGAGAAAGTCCACTTATAGGAGGATTTTCTTCTGCCTCCACCACCCCTGAGACAGCAAGGCCAACCGCTCCTCTTCCTCCTCCTCCTGATCCATTTCCACTTAATGAGTAGTAAATACATTTTTCTTCTTTCTGCTTTTCCTCTAGCTTACTTTATTGTAATACAGTATATAGCACATATAACGTACAAAATATGTATTAATTGACTATGTTACTAGTGAGGTTTCCAGTCAACGGTAGGCTGTATGTGGTTAAGTTAAACTTCAACTGTATGGGGGGTCTGTGCCCCAACACCCACATTGTTCAAGGGTCATCTGTATTTAGATGAAGACTAAATATGTATTTCTTATTATAAATCACAATAACACACTCTTCTTAAGGGCTCACTCATCCTCCTTCTTTATAGCAAGAATTCTCTTTTCAGGCTAGACAAAGTTGTGGAGAGGGTCTGCTCATCTTTTTCCCCTGGGTTTGCCACCTTTTTCTCTAGCAGATACTGGCAATGTGTCTCATTCGCATCCTTAGAATTCTTCTCCTCCTGCATCCATTTCAAATCATTGCTTTCTCTTCTGAAACCATATATGAAGGTTAACTAATTATAATTATGTGAGGTTGCTTTTTCCATAGGATTTGTATTCCTTCCTGACTAGAATGAGTTCTCATTTGAGATGTGCTATAGTAATTGGAGTTAAAAATCTGCAGTCAACAGAAAATCCCATTAACAGAAGCTTAAACAGAAAGGAGTTTGTCTCACAAAAGGAGAGGTCCAGGGCTTAGCAGCCCGGGGCTGTAGGCACCCCCAGAGCCAGGAGGGATGGAGCTCTTTCCCTTTCTGCCCCACCATCCTTAGCGTGTGGGCCTTTGTCACCATGCTCGTGCCTCCTGGTTGTGGGATGGCTGCTATACTGCCAAGCCTCACCTCTGTTTTCCAGGCAGAAGAAAGAGTGATGTGAAAGTGACGGTGAAGGGCTCTTTCTTAGCAAGAATTTGTTTTTTGGAGGTGAGGGAGAAGAATGTGCTGCATCTTTCTCACGGGTCTACCCCTCAGCCCCAGAGAGGCTAGGAAACAGATTTTTAGTTGGGCTCATTGTCACCCCAAACAAAACTGGTATTTGAATCAAGATGGGAGAGACGACTTTGGGTGGATGCCAAGCTATTTTCTGTGGTCTGACCCTGTTGAGCTGAGTTTCAGAAGTCACTGGATGAGACTGCCCTACTATAAAGACCGTGTCATGTGATGTGGAGGGTTGGGTGTGTAGGTAGTGCAGAAACCATTTCACCTAATTCTAGAAGCTTCCCAGAGGTGGAGAATCCTTTAGAAAGATGTGAAAGCCAGAAAAAGTTGCTTTTTAGACAGGAATAAACAGAAGTGACTGAAATGAAGAAAGGGAACCAAGAGGCAGAAAAAGTAAAGCAGAAGATGGAAAAAAATGAGAGGGCTACCTGCTGAGAAATTGAGCGGTAAATTAATTGTGTTGTGGAAAGCAGTGGCCAGCTGGTGCGGAGGCTTTGTGAGCGGGATAAAATGTTTCTCATGTGGGGCTGGGGGTCTGTAGATGAGGTCAACAGGTCAGGTGGCGAGGGCAGGCTGCTGGACTTGCCAGTGAGGGTGGCCTGGATAGGTTCAGCAAGGGAGGCAGCAATATGTGCAAGCAGGGGAAGTGGTGGGTCCCCAGAAGCAAAAAGTATGTAGCCACTCCCCTGGGCACACCCAGCCAGCACCCATCTCAGGGTGGGGATCAGTTACAGGATTGAGGAGAAAGACGCCTCAAGCAAGGACAAGCAGCACAGGGAAGAGACTGGATGAGGACAACCATCACCACAATAATGATGGTGGTAGCAACAGCCACTGTTCACCGAGCACTTCCTGTGTGCCAAGTTCTATGCAAAATGCTTTGCCTGAATTAACTTACTTGATTCTTAGAACAACTTTATGAAGTAGAATTTGATATTATCACCAGCTTGGCAGAGTTTAAAGTGACTTGCCCAAGAGCATGCAGCTAATGAATGATGAAACTTTGTTCTGAAGCCAGAACCTATGAAACTTTGTTCTGAACCTGTAGCCAATTCCTGCTGCTATAACAAAGTACCACAGTCTGGGTAGTTTATAAATAATGGAAATGTATGTCTCACAGTTCTGGAGTCTGGGAAGTCTGAGATCAAGGCACTAGCAGATTCAGTGTCTGGTGAGGGCTACTTTATACTTCCAAGACACCTTGCTGCTATGGACTCACATGGCAGAAGGCAGAAGGGCAACAGGGACTAGCTACCCACCAGCCCTTCGATAAGGGACTAATCCCATCCCTGAGGGTGGAGTCCTCATGGCCTTGTCACCTCCTGAATACTGTTGCATTGGGGATTAAGTTTCAACATCAGTTTTGGAGGGGCCACATATATTCAAACCATAGCACCCTCTGAATCTGGAGCCCATACTCAGAACCACTGGCTTCAAGCTAGTTGTTTAAATTGGGGCCTGAGATTAGAGCTCAGCACGTATACCTTGGCTGGCCTGATTCTGAGTGATTGAGCCTGGGGTTCTTAGAGTCCTCTCTGATGTGGGGAATAGGAAGGTTGGTTTCTGAGTTCCCTCTGTTTGGAAGGTTTAGCAGGTCTATGTAGCTATCCTCTTTCCAACTGCTTGGAGAGAAAGGAAATAAAGAAGTCATATTAAGCAGGAAGAAAACAAATGGAAATGTTAAGAGCAGGTTAACTGTTTAGGAGAGGAGTATAAAGGGGGAAGTAACATTTCTGTGGAAAGTTGTAGCAGGTCTGACAACAGCTAAGAAAAAGAGAAACAGAACAAGGAGGAAAATGCCTTAAATTCTTAAGTAGGAAGAGAGTTTGGGTCAACTTTGTTTTGCCTAAAAGTAATTGAAAAAGGGAAGAGGCAGGACTGCCCGCCCGCCTGCCTGCCTGCCCGCCTGCCTTCCTCCCTCTGTTCCTTCCCTCCCTCCTTTTTTTTTTTTTTTGTCATTGCAGTTTCCAAACCTGCACACTACACTGTCTTGATTGAGATTTTTAGGGCTGGATAAACCAGTTGCAAGGAAGGGACTGCGTGGGGGTTGTCAGAATGGAGAGCAGTATTAATGGGGAACAGATGTGGGTGGGGGCCAGAATCAAGGGGAGGCAGGGTTGGTGATCATTCACAGAGCTGGGGAGAGACCTGAGGAGCTATGGAGTCTGGCCCCTTCCGTTTGGAGATGGAGAAAATGAGAACTAGGGAGGTTAAGTGACACTGAGTTATAGAATCTTAGAGTTAGAAAGGCCCTTAAATGTCACCTTGCCCCACTGCCCAAGGTCGTACAGCTAATTAGTATAATAGAATGTGCCTCTCGTTCTGCAGCCGTGCCCATTCTCAAACCTTGAGCGCTGCACGCATTTATCTCAAGTTCACAAAAAGGCCATGCACTATACTATTTGTGCAAGAGTGAGTCTGTTAGAATAAAATTGTCTTTACTGCTACCCTCTGGGACCCTCACAGAATTGAGATGTTGATCGTATGAAGCAATCTTATTGAACAAAAAAACTTCCAAGGAAAAAAGTTGTGTCCCCTGAGCCAGCCAGTCTCTGCTAAGGGGGACCTGCTGCTTTGCAGAGTGAGCAGCTGAAAGCCAGGAGGGAATGATTAGAGAGGCCAACCATTGGTTAAAATTCTCCGAACATAAATGATCTCCTTGTTCTCCCTTTGATGGATTCGGTCTCTCAAAAATAAAATGCATCTGTGAACATCACACCTACTTCTTTCCTTTTCTTTTGAGTCCTGTATGGAGAAGTACCCAACAGCAATTTTAATATAGATGAAACAGGTTGGGCACACATAGGTATAAATATGCATAGGAAATGGAGGCCCCTCACATCATCCGAGTTTTTTCTGGTCTAGTGGGTCGGTCAGTGATTTTACCTTTTGACCCATGCTGCCCCCACCAGAGCTGAATACTGATGGCTACACCAGTTTCTCCAGGTTTCACAGCACCCATTGTAAAAGAGCCCACGTGTTGAAGTGGCAGGGTGCCCTTGGTTCTTATTTACCAGGGATTCACCAGGGTGGGCCCTGAGCCTCCCAGGAGGCTGCCACACATGGTCCTGTGCTCCCCCAGTGGCTCGCATGCCAGCAACCAGAACTGAGGCACCTTCTCTTCATGTACCTCATGACTTGGGTGAGTCTCAGTGTATTTATGGGGTTTCGGGGAAATCACAGAATGTAAAAGAACAGAAGCAGAGAAGATGGTGGGTTAGTTACTAGAAGGAAATCTTTACAGGTTTCCCCATTATAGAGCAGAAACTTCTGTACAGGAAAAGTAAAAGACCCACTCCAGCAATTAAACATGAATTGAAATAAAGGTTTCCAGAAGCACTGAGAAGTTTGTCCCTTGACTTGTGGCACATGGTTTCTACTAGTCTCAGTCACCACATCCAGTCTCGTTTATCTCCATCTTCCATCCTTGTAGCTCGATTTTCCCAAGATTCGTGTCTAGTCCCAAAGTTATTCTTTTCCACTAGCTTTCACATCCTCTGATCATGCCAATGGAAAAGTCTCCATTTACAGCCAGTGTTTCTTTAACACTTCTCTAACCCTACTAATCTCCCCTTTTAATACAAAATAGGCCGTACGCTCTTGGATTTTTGACAAACAGCAATGTCTAGCTAATAAAGTTTGTAGTTTTTAAAAAGCTGTGTGTTTTTTTTTTTTTTACAATTATTTCCCTATGGCTGGTGATGATAGCTTTCCATGAAGATGTAGAGTTTTCTTTTAAAAAAAATGTATTAAAACCAAGGAATCAATTTAAAGAAAATGCTAAGTGGTTGCAGAAAGTACATAGCTATAGCAAAATTGGTGAAGGTGGCACTTGGAAATGGCAGACATTTGGGGAACACTCATACAGCGGTTCTTCTTAGCTGCTTCTCCCCACCCCCAACCCCCTTCTTTCTCCCAGTGGGAAGAATAAGAACTTCCATTTAACTGCTCTGTGCTGCTTTTGTACTGCAGGATACAAGGTAAGTTGCAAAATATTAGATCATTGAGGTCTCTATATGTGGGCATAAGTAACTTGAAGGGGGAAAGCAAAGAACCCATGGTTAATTTCAAGCCCCCAAATCCCTCCTGATCCCTGATCAATGTCAGTGTATGTATTTATAGAGTTGACACCAGTAATACCAACTTATTTGGTCTTATTGCTTACCCACTCAGCCCTGACGCCATTCTCATCTCCAGCCACCACCTTTTCCTTATTTCAGCCACACCATGTCCCCTTCTGTTTTCCGAACACCTCAGCCCCTGCATGCCTCTGACCTCTGTTCGAGTGGTTTCCCTCCTGCAGCTTTTCTGCCCATTGCAAGCCTCCTCATCTCTCCATTGGCAAGGCTTCCATGAAGCCTCCCCAGATCCCCAGCTAGAATGGCTGGTTCCCTCTTTAGTGCTCCTGTGACAGTTTGCTTACACCTTCCTCACTTGTCCTGTCAAATCTGGGGCTCAGTAGAATGAGGGATTGTGAACCTCAGTTTCCAGGTCCAGCACTGCGTCCACTGGCTTTGGAGCCTTCATTAGATCTCTTTGAGGACTCCTGGTCTCCACTTCTTCATCTAGCAGCTGACAGTTTGGATGTGGTGGGAGTATTTGGATGTGGTGGGAGGGTTTGGATGTGGTGGGAGTGTTTGGATGTGGTGGGAGTGTTTGGATGTGGTGGGAGTCTTTTGTTTGTTTTCTTGGGTTTTGTTTGTTTGTTTTTGAGATGAGGTCTCGCTGTGTTGCTTAGGCTGGTCTTAAACTCGTGGGCTGAAGTGATTCTCCCACCTTAGTCTCTTGAGTATCTGGGATTACAGGTGCACACCGCTGTACCCATCTGGTGGTGAGAGTCTTTTTGGCCTTACAGTATGTAAGTTTATGGAGGTGTTAGTGTTATTTCTGTAATGTTCTTTTCTCCTACCAGATTGTAAAATCTTGAGCAAAAGATCCCCAATTCCCAACACCTCTCACTCCTGCCTAGTAGATGATTAGTGATCCAGTAATGGTTTCCTGAATAAAAAAATGTTCATTTGAGAGGGCTAAAACCTCTAGAGTTCTAAACTCTGCTGCCTTTTCTTGATAGCAGGCATATTACATTTTATATGTTCCCATAACTGTAGCTACTCAAAGCGTTTCTGTGTATTTCAACCTTTTTTCACACATTTAGTTTGAAGCAAAACAAAGCTGTCATTTTTAATGTGAGCAGCAGGGGGCAACATTCTCCCAGGAATTGCCTTGTGATTCACTAGGCCTTGGCAGTGTAAAGAGAGGACATGGGCATGAGTTTTTTATCAGTCTACCAGACATCTTACTGATGAACTGTGCTGGCAGGAGCTAAATATGATCTAGCGTGACCTAAAACCCCAGAGTGCCAAAATTTGGGTGTTAGGGAATACCTGCCTGTTTTAAAAGAAGGAAGAAAATATGGTACCTAGCGGCATATACTAGATGCTAAACACATGAGTGGCAAGAACTAGGAACTGAGGGGAAAGAGGGTGGTGACTGCAGCTTTCAGGGGAGATTTAAATGAGGAGAAATCTGTTGGACAAGGAAAACTTCAGTTCATGAGAAATATCTAGCTTTTAATGAGTATTGCAGGTGTGGGGGCAGCTTAGAGCAGAGGGACCCCAATTATCCAGTGTACCGCCTGGGATTGAATGAGCAGTGTGGCCAAGATGACAATGGCAGATTTCTCCTTTCCTCACATTTGGGTTTTCACTGCAAAGGCTCATTTGGCGCTTCACACATTTATAAAGTAGAGCCTTGGTTCTGGATTTGCTGGTGGCATTAGATGATCCGGGAATATTGCCTTCTCTCTCTCATGCCTTGGTAAAATTTACCTCAATGAGGTTTGGAGGCAACTGTGAGATTTTTCTTGGACATTTAAAAATTATGAGGGTAGAAAACCTTGCAAGAAAATGGCATTTTGATTTTTTTTCCTCCAGAGGAAGAAATTTTTACTTGACATTTTAAAAATGTAAAGTAGCTTTGGCATCAACGTAGTTGGTATCTCTTTCCTGCTCTTCCCCTGGCCAGTTTTTCTTCATGCCTTTGGCCCCTGGCTGCAGTTTTGTCTCTTTTGTAATGGGAATCATGCAGGTGCCTTCCTATGGCTTTGGCGTTTCTTTCACCTGCAACAAGTTATAGTCAGAACCATTCATCCAAACCCTTCACATTCCTCCCCAGGTCGGAGTGATCCCTGAGGGATGGACTCGCATAGGGCCTTCCACGGGCACAGGCAAGGCTCCAGGTGCTTGGCACTTTCGTCTATTTTAAGCCTGTTCTGCCTTGCAGCAGGGAGGTGGGTCTAGGGTCCAGTATGTGCTGTGGATATTAAGAGACTTCAAGGACGCTTCCCCCCATTTATCTCGGTTATGTCCCCTGCTAAAATAGGTTAACGGTGTCTAATTAACCACTGAACATTGTCATGCTGCATAAAGATAGCATCCTGGCTGTTCTCTGAGCCGTGGTACTTTATCTCCATTTAGATCTCTGCAGTATTCCATTAAACTCGAGAGAAACATTTTAACTGAGGTGATGTCTACATTAGGGCTGCCTTTTACCCTTCAGCACATAACCCATGTAGCAGCAGTTAAGGCCTCTTCTGTCTGGTGAAGGGAATCCAGGTTGTTTTGCGGCCTCTTCCCCAGAAGTTCATGGGGTCCCTGCAGTTGGGGGTCATAACTACCTGCTAGTCCCACTCGATCATGATGGCCAGATCAGGCCCCCTGATGCAGCAGGGAGGAGACAGACCCTGCAGGCAGGAATAAAACTATGAGGATCCAAGATTCTGCCATGGTCCCATGTGGCTGAAGTCACAGATGTGCCACTGGGATCCAGCTTGTGCTCAGCTGCCCAAATCACACCGTCAAATGTCAGTGTGGGCTCCAAATGCCAAAGAAAGGGATTACATTTGAGCAAAAGAATTTCAAAAAGGGAGGAATATGGAGAGAAAGGTGACTTAGCTAGATGGGTCTCTTTTTTGCCATGATGCACACTGTTGCGTTGTAAATAAAACATATAATAAATCACAGAACAATTAAGCCAACATTAACTACCAGATCATCAGGACTGACAAAGCTACAGCCCTACTATAAGTTGAAAAGTTGTCCCCGTCCTGAAAATATTAGTTGGATTTGAAGCAGAGGAGCATTTCCCATGCTGTTGAAATGCCCGCATGTCTCCATGGTGTAAGGGTTGGGAACTGAGCTTTGGAGTCAGACACCCTGCTTGCATTCTGGCCCTACCACTTTCTAGGTAGGTAACCTTAGGCAGGTTACTTACCTCTCTTGAGCTCCTCCTCTGTGAAACAAAGAGAATAAAATAAGGTACTATAATACTGAAATAAGATAATGTATACTGTATAGGACATATGTGATTATATAATTGTATAATAGTATTATAAATACTATAATGACAGTGGCTGGTGCCTAACAAACTCAGTAAATGTTGACTGTTGTCATCAGTCGTCATCCTTCTTAGGGCAGGTTTGTGGGGGAAGGGACAGCACAAAGGAAGGGTGGGCTGAGACCTGGGACTGGGCTTTCTTTCCCCTGAGAGTTGAGAGTGGGTGCGCTGAGCCAGGCAGGAGAGGCTAAGCGTAGGTCAGAGAGAAGCTGGGATGAAGACCAGGACGGGACTGGGTGAGTGTGGAGCTGAGGTACTGGGCTTTAAATGCAAGTCACGACAGCAAGACAACCGCCTTCACCTTCACATCGTCTACCTGAGAAGCCAAGCTTCTGAGTCCTTGGCAGCTTCGTGGCTGAGCATTGTAGGCAATTTGGAAAGGGCCATCAGCCCGCCGTGATGTGGGGAGGGGAAGCCAGTCTTTGCTCCCTCACCCTGCTCCACGAGGCGGAGGTGAGAGAGAACGTTTACTGTCACTGTCCCAGGTTAAAACTTCATTCTGCAAAATGGCCAAAGCAATCAGTGAGTGATGGAGTAGCTCTTAAAAAGAAACCTGGCATTTAATTAACTTTTCAAAGTGCTGATTCAGCAACCTCTGTGTTTTACATTTTGAATATTGAACGAGCATCTCTAATCGGATCTGGATTGCTCTGGGCCTGGTGTGGTGGAGAACACCTGCTTAGTTTTCATGAACACCACGTACTTGGGCGTGAATTTCAGGATCACTCAGGAACAGAGACTTCACCTAGTGGACCATTCAGGCCCCTTGCTATTTCTTCCTCCTCTCATCCTTTAGGTCAAGTCCATGTTCATTAATGCTTCCGTTAGAAGAAAGTCGGCAACTCAGGAGGAGAAGGCAAATAAGTTTCAGTTTTGCTGCTTAGCAACTGGAGTATTCAGCTGAATGTCTCAAGGCTTAGGGCAGGGAGTCTTGTCTACGTGACTAGGTCCCATTTCTGGAAGTTACTACCTCAGGGAGATTAGGAGTAAGCCCAGCCCATGTACATTGAAAAAGCTTCCGGGAATGAGTCTGGTGCACCACTGTTGAAGAATGACTAATTTAAAAGATTCTCTCCAGCTTCCAATTTGCTGTCTATACCATATCGTGCCTTCCATAAGGAGAGGAAGTCAAGAAGGGACCGTCTACACAGTAAATCCAAGCAGATGTCTGGGTGCCTTAGGGATATTAGATAATCAACTGGTATCTTCCTTTGAAAAGGCTTGAGGCAAAGTGTTTGGAATCTAGGGTGAAAGTTGGGAGACATGGATTCTAGTTTCAGCCTCATCACTAACTAGCTCTGTGATTTGGGTGAAGCCCACAGCTGCAGTGCCCAGCGTCCCTCTCTGTGTATAAAATTGTGCTGCTGAAACCTGCTTTTCCTCTTCTCCAGAACTCAGCCGAGGTAGTGTTTGTAGATGTGAATATCTTTGAAGAGTATTGAAAAGTGCTCTGTGTGAGGTGATCTCGCTGGAATTATGATTTGCCAGGTTCCCCAAACTTCTAATAGCCACTTTTGGGGAAAAAGGCACAGGGGCCCTGAGTACAGAAATAAACCGGCAGCCCAAGGCTATACTGATCTCAGCTCTGCAGACAGCCTGTCAGAGGGCTGGGCCCAGGTCACACAAGCCTCATCGACAGCCTCAGTTTCCTCAGAAGTTGGGAATGAAGTGTCTCTGAAGAGGTGCTCCAGGACCCATAATTCTTTACCTCAACCTCTGTCCTCACACAGTCTGGGAGGCAGAACTTCCATATCAGATTCTTCTCTAATTCCCTACCCTGTGGACTGTGGTAGACTACTGTGTTTTAGGTTCTTGTTTGTTTGCTTGCTTGTTTGTTTTTAACCTGTCACCAGTAGTTTAAAAATACAGTCAGGGCTGAGCACAGTGGCCCATGCCTGAATCCCAGTGCTTTGGGAGGCAAAAGCAGGAGAATTGCTTGAGGTCAGGAGTTTAAGAACAGCCTGGACAATACAGTGAGACCCTGTTTCTACGAAAAATAGAAAAAAATTAGCCAGGCACGGTGGCACGCACTTGTAGTCCCAGCTACTCAGGAGGCTGAGGTGGGAGGATAACATGAACTCAGGAGTTTGAGGCTGCAGTGAACCATGATCTCAACACTGCACTCCACTCTGGGCCACAGAGTGAGACCCTGTCTCTAAAAAAAAAAAAAGTAAATTAATAAAAAATAAAAATATACTTCATGACTGGGTATGTGTATATATAAAACAGGAAACAAAACATTTACATAATACCTATTCTTACTATTTTCAGCACATGGTGTTTTCTGTGCTATTAAAAAAGAAAGATGAAAGAAAAATTTTAAAAGGAAAGGAAAGCTGGTGGTGCGCCACTAAATTGGTTTCATGGCTCACTCGTGGGTCATGACCTGAAGTTTAAAAAACATCGTGCTAGATTCTGTGTCTTTTGCTGGGCTCCTTGTCACTGCACTAGCCTGAGGTGCCTTTGAGGACCAGGCAGATAAAGTAAATCTGTGAAATGGGGTTTTATTTCAGAATGGTACCTTCAATCATATTCTTGAGATACATACACAAATTATTTGCATGTTCGCATTTCTATAAAGAAATATACTCTGCCAGTTTTCCTAAAACACGCTCCCCACTTTGTCTTTTTGCCTCCTCATATTTGATAGCTGCAAGACATACTTTGCCAGCCTCCTCACTCCTATTGGAAAACCAGCAGTGCAGATCATGTAATTCAGGACTAGTTCTGGACCCCCAGTGTTTGGGAGCAATGCGGGGTCGGGGGAGCTCAGGTTCATCCACTGCACGTCCAGTATTGCCAGGCTAAAAAGTTAAACTAAAAAGTTAAGAGTCCAGAAATTTGGATTTTTATACAAAATCTCCCCATTTTGGCAATGAATTTACATTAAAACAGAACAAAACAAAAAATAGACAGCAGTATGGTTTAGACCAAACTCATCTGCAGGCTAGGTAAGGCTGGGAAGTGGCCAGTGTTCGGTCTGTGACCCAGATCAGAGGCAGGGCGCACCATCCCACTCAGTGCGCTCCCAGAACCCGTTATTTCTGGCAGAGAGAGAGAATGAGAGAGAACACGCCACCTGAGGGCATCCCTGCTGCCCGTCCTTGAGGACTCCATTTGATCTTTCTTCCTTCCTCTGTTGGGAGAAAAGGGAGAGGGGAGAGTCCTTGGGCTCCCCCTAGAGTGAGAGAGCAGGATGTGGGCTCAGCAGCAATTAAGCTGAATATTAAACTCATCCCCCTTTTGGATATTGAGTGGATAAATGGCAATTAATCAGCCTCCCCCGAAAGATTAGCATTATCATTATTGTTTCCTTCAGACAGAATCGCCACTGGTTTTGCCACCGCACATTGTGTAGGGAAGGAACGATTCGGTCATAACTCCTGAGGGTAATTGGAGACAAATATGTCTCTTATGTACACAACGAAGGCGCCAGCCTTCCTTCCTAGCCTCTTTAATCCCGGGATTCTTCTTTTATCCCTGTTTTCATCCAAGCACATCTACCCTTGGTGACATTAGCTGTGTCATTCGGACAATGGGGGTATAGAGTTTAACTTCATGAGGACAATTAGAGGCATTGGTCCTTGGGGACGGCGTGAACTGGGAAGACAGCTTCTGTCCTCCCACACAGACAGAAGGTGGCTTTGATGGCTACTGGGTGCTCTTCCTTTAGGATTCCGTTTACTTAGAATAGGCATTGGAAGCCTATAGCATCCAGCAACACCAGGCTGGGGATGCCCTGGGCACCCTGCAGTGGTTTCTCTTTGGTGCCTCCCACTACCCATTCTGTCTCCTTCTGCCCTCATAACCTTCATTGCTGAGTCTCCTTTATCTCTCTTTAAGGGTCAGAAACTGCAGCCTGGGAGATTCCCTTAGAGTTGTTACACCCTGTTCTTCCAGCTT
The DNA here is from genome assembly GCF_000001405.40 of Homo sapiens. NCBI lineage: Eukaryota > Metazoa > Chordata > Mammalia > Primates > Hominidae > Homo > Homo sapiens. Next base: position 76,057,093 of record NC_000014.9, read on the forward strand.
GACCTACCCATTCTCCCACCTCACTTCAGCCGTCATTCTTCCTTTTTAAAAATGGTACAGTTGATAGAGTCTAAATTCCATGGAAAGCAGTCTATTTAAACTTTGACTTACTTTTTAAAATCATTTTAATTATTTTATTTTATATTATTATTTTTTTTGAGACGGAGTCTCACTCTGTTGCTAGGCTGGAGTGAAATGGCGTGATCTTGGCTCACCGCAACCTCCACCTTCCGTGTTCAAGCGATTCTCCTGTCTCAGCCTCTGAGTAGCTGGGATTACAGGTGCCCACCACCATACCTGGCTAATTTTTGTATGTTTAGTAGAGATGGGGTTTCACCATGTTGGACGGGCTGGTCTCAAACTCCTGACCTCAAATGATCCACCTGCCTTGGCCTCCCAAAGTATTAGAATTACAGGCGTGAGCCACTGTGCCTGGCTGAAATTTTTATTTTTTAATTGACAAAAAAAAAAAAAATGAATGTAGAATTCTACTTTTGGCAGGGGGAGTTATTTGCGTTTTGCAAGAATTGCTGGTTGGCTCCTCGAAACCAATTCTTACTGGCAAGGCTGGTGGCCTACCCTGTCAAGGTCTACATCCTGCCTCCAGGCCATTTGCCGCCCTTTGCCCCCATCCTTTGCTCTTGCTCATCATGGTGCTAGATTTCTGACTTCAAATAACTCATTTAAAACAAACAAACAAAAAACCCTATGATGACAGAATAGTGGAAGTTTTCAGACATACAAAAATGTAATCTCCATGTACCCAATATTCAACTTTAATAATCATCAACATTTCGCCAGTCTTATTAGAAAACTTCACATCAGTGTTTCTCAGAGTGTGAGTAGTGACCCACTTAGATTAGAATTTAAAAATGCATATTCCTGGGCTGCCCCCACCCACCCAGACCAGCTGATTCAGAAATCTCCCTGCCAGGCCCACCAATCTGTGTATCTAACAGGCCCCGCGGATGGTTCTTATGCACCCTGACGTGTGAGAACCACTACCATAGATACGCGTGTATCAGCCAGGCCCTGTCACTCCTCACCCACCATCACTCAGAAGGTCCTCTCGTCCTTCGTGTGAAGGGCACAGAAAAGCAGTTCCAAAGTCTGAAGCCTGAACTGCGAGGCGAGGACATCCCTTTTTGCTCGTTGCAAGTCGCAAGTGCTGACAGCTAACAACACCAAATAAGACCCAGGGTCTCAGTCCTAAGAAAGCACTCTATAAATCAGTCAGTTAATTGCTGAAAGAAAAGAGGGCACTGAATCATCTGTATCTATTTGAATTTTAAGCCACTCGCTCAACCTGCACTTACACTCTCAACAATCCAATTTGGAGTGAGGCTGACATAAAGCTGTAAGAAGGCACTACAGCATCTTCAGTTCTCTCATGCTGGTTGTGGGGCTTGTCTCTAAAGAGGACTGCAGACAAATAAAGCACTTGAGATATACTAATTTGCCTCCACTTTTGAAACCTTCCTCAAGATACTACCTGGTGCATGAGACTAGTGGGCTCTCAAAAACCTTGTCTTTTCTTTTTTTTTTTCAGGTTTAGGAGGAAGGCTTCTGAAGAAATAGAAGAGTACGTTTCCAGTATTCTTATTCTTATGGTATCCTATGTTGATCTTGGTCAACAGTGCAGTCTTGGTGGTCATGATCTGTTCCACCTATGTTGAACACTGTGTTAGAAGTCTGGGGCTAGAATTATTGATGCCTGCTGAATCCAAGGTTTGGTTAATCCCGCTTCCTCAACTGAAGGTCTGGACCCTGGCATTGATGCCCATGTCCTATCTCCCACTGTGTGGTTTTAGAATTATATGTCCAGGTATCAGGGTACTGGCCCATGCCTTCTGCATTATTGATATAGATGGGCAGAAGCAATACCAGCTTCTAAGCCTTGCCTTCTCATAAGACTTATATCAGAAAAGAAAGAAGTTTTCTAGATAAAGGTGCTGTGAAGGTAGGGCCACCCAGTTTCCTACTCCCAGGGGCGGAAGCTGCATTCATGTCATAGCCTCTGTGATGCTGTCCTCTGGAATAGTGCATCGCACAGCCTGTGCAACCACACACGGCACACCCAGTGGCCTAATTAGGTTTGACTAAGTTGACAGAGAAAAACAGGTTCAGGGACATTTTCATCTAGGAGAAAGAATGGATACAATAAACATTTGGGATGTTCCTTTCCGTGTTTGAAACTCATTTTTTGCTGTCCTTTTCTTCTTTTTTGGGGGCAGTTTCCGCCTCAGACCACAGAGCCTGAATGGATCAGATTATGGAGGAGGTAAGAGGCCCTTGGAGGAAGTCAAAAGGTCTTCTAGAGAGGCCCCAGAACATTTCCTGGGCTACAGCTAAGGCACTGTTGGCTGCAGCATCACTGAAGACATTTGCAGTGGTCTTCTGACGCATGCTGATGCACATCTTCATGCCTTGCTGAATGCTGCCACCTCTACCTGGAGTATCTCTCCCTTCTTTATCTGATAACCCTGCTTATCCTTCAAAAGGTCAGCCAAAGCATCACTTCCCCTGAAACATCTTCCCTTCCCATCCCACTCCCTCTCTCACTGGATGTTCTTTCTCCATGCTCCTCTAACCTCCTTGGCAAACCAACATTGTAATAACATGGCCAATATTTACTAGGTGTTGACTATATCCCAAGCACTGTCCTTCCAGTTTACACATGTTAAAGCATTTTCTCTCACCACAACCCCGTAGTACTACTATTATCCCCATTTTACAGTTGTGGAAACGAAGGCATGGAGAGGTTAAGTAAGTTGCCCAAGGTCACACAGTTGCTAAGTGAGTAGAGCCAGGATTTGAGTACAGTTAGGATGTACTGTGCTTTAACTCTTTGTTGGCTTGATTGTTTTCCCACCAGACCTCTAAGCTTCTTGATGGCAGACAACACATGTTCTTTATCTTTGCATCTCCAGTGTGTGACGCATAGTAGTTAGTTAATGGCTAGCTATATAAACGCAGGGAAAACAGTACTAACAAGGCAAGTAGCTGTGGCACAGTGGAAGCCTATGTTCAAATATCAGGAGAAAAGATGAAGTTTGTGTGTGTCTCTAAAATGAAGCCTTCTAGGGAGGAGATTACGTAGGGGATCCAAATTATTATTGTTATTATTATTATTATTATTTTTTGAGGCAGAGTCTCGCTGTGTCACCCAGACTGGAGTGCAGTGGTGCAATCTTGGCTCACTGAAACCTCTGCCTCCCAGGTTCAAGTGATTCTCCTGCCTCAGCCTCCCGAGTAGCTGGGGTTGCAGGTGCATGCCACCACACCCAGCTAATTTTTTGTATTTTTAGTAGAGATGGGGTTTCACCATGTTGGCCAGGCTGGTCTCTAACACCTGACCTCAAGTGATCCTCCCACCTTGGCTTCCCAAAGTGCTGAGATTACAGCCGTGAGCCACCGCGCCCGGCCCCAAATTGTCAAAGCCTTTTTTTTTTAGACACACTTATTTATAATTTTCACACTCCTTGTTTGTTTGTGTAGATCCTAGTTTCTATCTGGCATCAGTTTCCTTCAGCCTGAAAAACTTTATCATTATTTTGTAGAACAGGTTGTCTGGCAAGAAATTCTGTCTGCTTTATTTGTCTGAAAATGTCATCTTCAACTTTTTACCAGACACAGAATTCTAGGCTGACAATTTTTTTCTTTTAGCATTTTAAATAGTTATTTTATTGTCTTTGGCCTTCTTTCTTTCTTCCCTCCCTTCCTCCCTCCCTCCCTTTCTTCCTTCCTTCCTTCCTTCCTTCCTTCCTTCTTTTCTTTCCTTTTCCTGCTCTCCCCTCCCCTCTCTTTTCTTTTCTTTCTTTTTTTTGAGACAGGGTCTCACTCCATCGTCCAGGCTGGAGTGCAGTGCCATGATCTTGGGCCCACTGCAACCTCCACCTCCTGGGTTTAAGTAATTCTCCTGCCTCAGCCTCCTGACTAGCTGGGACTACAGTCACATGCCACCACACCTGGCTAATTTGTGTATTTTTAGTAGAGACAGAGTTTTACCATGTTGGCCAGTTTGGTCTCAAACTCCTGACCTCAAGTGATCCACCCGCTGTAATAGGTGTGAGCCACCTCGCCTGGCCTACATTGTTTCTGATGAGAAGACGATCATTATTCTTATCTTTGTTCCCCTGTATGTAATGTATCTTTCCCCCTATCTGCTTTTAAGATTTCTTCTCCATTATCAGTTATTTTCAGCAATTTGTTCCTAATATGCCTTGGTGTGGTTTTCTTTGTGTTTATCCTACTTGAACTTCTTCAGTCTGTGGATTTATAGTTTTCATCAGATTCAGAAAATCTTAGCCAATATTTCTTTAAATATATTTTTCTTCCCTCCCACTCCTTCTAATTCCAAGTTTGTATGCCCACACAATTGTCTCCACAGGTCATTGAGGCTTGGTGTTTTTTGTTTTTAGTCTACTTTTTTTCTCAGTGCTTCAACTTGGATCGTTTGTATTGCTGTGTAACTGGTCTTTTCTTCTACAATGTCTAGTCTGCTTTTAAGCCCATCTAGTGGATTATTATTTCACATATTTTTTTCAGTTCTAGAAGCTCCATTTGGTTTCCTTTTGTATATCTTCCATTAATCTTCTCATTCTGTGTATGTTTTCTTTCATCCTTGATAGTAGCCTTTATATAGACTGAGTATCCCTTATCCAAAATGCTTAGGACCAGAAGTGTTTCGGAGTTCAGATTTTTTTCAGATTATGGCATATTTGCATTATGCTTATCTAGTTGAGCATCCCAAATCCCAAAATCCAAAATCTGAAATCCTCCAATATACATTTCCTTTGAGCATTATGTCAGTGCTCAAAAAGTTTTGGATTTTAGAGCATTTTGGATTCTCAGATTAGGGATGCTCAGCCTGTACTAGCTCTTTTCATGTTCTTTTGCTGCTAATTCCATTATATCTGTCTTTTCTGAGTCTGTTTCTATAACTGATTTTTCTTCTGGTTACAAGTCATATTTTTCCGCTTCTTTTTTTTTTTTTTAAACAGAGTCTCACTCTGTTTCCTAGGCTGGAGTGCAGTGGCTGTATCTCGGCTCACTGCAAGCTCCGCCTCCTGGGTTCATGCCATTCTCCTGCCTCAGCCTCCCAAGTAGCTGGGACTACAGGTGCCTGCCACCACGCCCAGCTAATTTTTTGTATTTTTAATAGAGACAGGGTTTCACCATGTTAGCCAGGATGGTCTCGATCTCCTGACTTCGTGATCCGCCTGCCTCAGCCTCCCAAAGTGCTGGGATTACAGGTGTGAGCCACCGCGCCCGGCCTGTTTTTCTGCTTCTTTACATGATTAGTAGGTTTTGATTGGATGCTGGACATTGTGAATATCATTATGTTGAGTCTGGATCTTGTCTTCCTTTAAAGACTGATATACAGACACTCTTCAACTTACAGTCTGGATAAACCCATTGTGAGTTGAAAATATTGTAACATAAATCAAAATATCATAATCCATAACCCCCTCTTGAGTCAAGGACCACATTGAACGTGTATTGCTTTTGCACCATCATAAAGTTGAAAATGCGTTAAGTCAGTCAGGCGCGGTGGCTCATGCCTGTAATCCCAGCAGTTTGGGAGGCCGAGGCTGGTGGATTGCCTGAGGTCAGGATTCAAGACCAGCCTGCCCAACATGGCGAAACCGCATCTCTTATAAAAATACAAAAAATTAGCTGGGCCTGGTGGCGGGCACCTGTAATCCCAGCTACTCGGGAGGCTGAGGCAGGAGAATCACTTGAACCTGGGAGGCAGAGGTTGCAGTGAGGCGGAGTTTGCACCACTGCACTCCAGCCTGGGCAACAGAGTGAGATCCCATCTCAAAAAAAAAAAAAAAAAAAAAAAAGAAAATACATTAAGTCAAACCACTGTAAATTGTGGAACATCTGTGTTTGTTTTGGTAAGCAGTTAATATATTTTCTTAAATCAATTTGAGCATTTTGAGAATTGTTTCAAAGCTTCATTAGGGCAGGTCTAGAGTTAGCCCTAAACACTAATGCCTGGTTGTTCAATAAGATCTCTACTCCAGCTGAGTGGAGCTGAGCCTCCTCCAGTTCTGTATAAGTGCTGGGGATTGTTTAGCTCACACCTTTTCAGTAGTTATTGAAATATCATAATGCAGTCTATGGCCATACCACCCTGAACGCGCCAGATCTCGTCTGAAATATCATAATGCGTAACCCCCTCTAAGTCAAGGAGGTTGTGCTCAAGTCTGCCCAGGCTTGTGGAGTTTCACCCTACAGAGGCACAGCTTAGTATCCAGTCGGTCTGGACTTCTAGAGCTTTTCCTCTCCATTAGCTCCCCAGTCTTTCAGACTTTGCTTCTAAAATTCCAGCCACTTAAGCCCCACTAAACTTCAGTCTCCCTTCAACTCAGTGAGACCTTCGTGCTATGTGTGGGGCTCCCCCAAGCTGTGCCAAAGTCCAGGAATGACCTCTAGTGACCCAGGGCTTACTTTATCTGTTTTCCTGCTCTCAGGAATCAAAGTCTTAGGCTGCTTATTATCCAGTGTCTGGAAACAGTAGTACCATGTATTTTTCCTCCAGTTTTCTAGTTGTTTATGGCAAAAGGGCAAGTCTAGTACCACATACTCTCTCATGGCGGGAAATGGAGTCTTAAAGCCTTTTTTTGGAACACCTTTGCTTGTGACTGCACAAAGAGAATTCAGTCTGTAAAACTTAGATAATTCTCTGATAATCACAAGACTAGGGAAAGGATCAGAAAGAACATCTGTGAAATATTCTGGGATGGTGGTTAAAATGTATAATCCCAGGCCATGCACTAATCAGAAGCTAGAGCTGGGGAGTCTGCATGAATTTAAGTAAGCTCCCCAGATGAATATTTGACAACTCTGTAGGAACTGAGGACCAGCGAGGGCAGGAGTCCTGTGAAGAAGTACTTCTGCCTCATCTCATTCCGGGCAGGGGATGGGGGGCAATAAAGATGGAAGAGTCGTCATTAGAGGTCAGAACACTCCACACTCTAAGATTTAGTAAGACCATACTCTCATCATTCTCCAGTCTTTTTCTTTGCTTTCCAGTATCTCTTCATGACAGATCTTCCTCCTTAGCACTACCCACTAACTTCCTTTTAGACTTCTCCACCCACTAATAATTGCCAATGACTATATTAAATATGAGATCTTGCATTTCTGTTCTCAGAGTCTGTTTTCCTAGATAGGTACCTAAGATGTCTTTTACCAGTGCTAAATTGTCACCTCAGAGATTGGTGGCTGCTGGTCACACTTGCAATCTGCCTGTCATCGCAGACTGCTTCTTCAGCCATTGGTTGCATAGGACAGTAAGGTGACCATCCAAGAGGTTGTACCCAAGGACTGAAGGAGGTAGAGTGTCTGCCAGACGTGAGCAAAGTGGGTAGGCGGTTAAGGAGCAGTGTGCATGGAAATTGTAATGCTAGAGCAACGATTCTAGAGCCTCTGGTTTGAACCGGCATGAGGGAGAGTGGTAATGGAGGCTGGTTAGTTGTAGTGTGAGGATCTGGCCAGTCTTGAAGGTGTGTAGAAGTGAGTAAAGGGCAAGTTATTTCCTGCAGGACGTCTTCTTTGGACAGCCTCAGTCCCCAGTTGCTCATGTTTTGTATTTGTTCAAAGCACCAAGAGACTTGCGTTTTAAGTAAGAAAGCATTAAACTCAGGAAAAAGGATTTTAGAGTTCTTTGGCAGAAACTTCTAAATGGAAACACGAGAAAACAAATTGATAATCTATAGAATTATCTGGACTTGTACTCTCCTCCAGGCTTTTCTCCACCCTGCCTTAAACCTATTCCCAACTCCCTTGAAAAGACTTCTGAAATTCTACTTTCTCTACTTTTTTCATCATGGAAATACTAAATTTCAAGGAGTAACTGCTAAATGTTATAGCAAAATCGTCTGAGCACTGAAGTTTACACATGTTATAAATACATGGAATTAGAAAGTTGTACTGGCCACCATCGGGGCATCATCACTTTAGGATCAAATTGTTGCACCTTTAAGCTTCTCTAGGACATCTCGTCCAGACCTGTCCTTTGTCATGTTAAGAAAGTGAAGTTCAGAGATTATTATATAAAATAACAGGACTCAAAGAGAGAAACTCTGGTCCTCTGACTTCCAGGACACTCTGCTGTCATGCCCCAGTGTCCACCAACATCACCATCATCATCATTTACTACCAAACACTTACCATATGCCAGCTACATTTTCTCTCATTTACTTCTCAAAACAAATCAGTAGGAAAGTTTTGAAAAATCAACTTTACTAAGGCCTGGTTTGTATACAATAAACGATATCCTTATTAAAGTATACAATTTAGGTTTTCACAGATGTATATACCTGTGAAACCCCTGCCACAAGACAGAACATTCCCATCACCCAGAAGTTCCTCCGTGCCCCTTCCAGCCCATCCTTCCTCTCTCTCCCTTGGCCTCAGAAAACTACTAATGTGTTGTTCATACTATAGAGTAGCTTGTGGTTTCTAGAATTTTATATAAATGACAGCATAAGTATTTACTCTTTTGCACCTGGCTTTTTTTTTTCACTCAGTGTAATGATTTTGAGATTCATCTAAGCTGTTGCATACATCATTAGCCTGTGTATTTTCATTGCTGAATAGTATTCCATTGTATGGACATACCACAGTATGTTCAGTTGTTGATAGACATTTAGATTGTTTATTATTTCCATTTAATTTATTATTTATTTTAAAAAATTTTAAGAGATGGGATCTATGTTGCCCAGGCTGGCCTCAAACTCCTGGGCTCAACCAGTCCTTCCACCTCGGTTTCCCGAAGTGCCGGACTACAGGCATATGCCACTGTGCCCAGCTCATTAACCCCATTTTAAAGCAGACTAAGGCAAAGAAAGGTAACCTTACCTAAGGTCACACAACTAATAAATGGTAGCACCAGGGTCTGAATATGGACCTTGACCTCAGGGCCCTCGTTCTTAGCCTCCAGGCTCTAACAAATGGTACAACTCTCAGATACACTGGCGTCTCCTTCCACAGGTAGTTTGTATTAATGTCAGCTTCCAGATTTGTAATATAGAGTGCCTAGAATGATTGATGGGCTGCTTAATAAAATTTCATTAAGGAAGGAAAGAAGAAAGATACCTATTTTCAAGAATACTTCTAGTATTTTTTCCTCCTTCATAAACTTGATATGTGAAATTTGCAATTTGGCCTTTATTTTGGCCCTGGAGGTTTGAAGCATAAAACCCTTTCTTGTCAGAGAGCGCTCCTGCTTTTACCCTCCAGGAGGGATGCCTCTTCTCCAACATAAATCTGTTTTCCATGCAGTTATGCTTGAGTCCTTTAATGGAAAATCAGTTCATATGTTACACTTCACACTCGACTTAGTCCATTTCACTGTATATGAATGTTTAGAATCCATTATGCAGTAGGAATCATATGTTACATATAACTAGTTTCTAGAATTATCTTTGCTCAGAGAATTACTTGGTTGGCTAGTGAAGGCTGCTCCTTTGAACTTAGAATATCCAGTGGGTGGGGAAACTCGGGAATGATTTCCCTGAATCATCCATGGACGTCCATTCAGCAATGACATTAAGCAGATCTTTGGGCAACTATAAGGAAACCTAGTGGTTCCTAATAAAATCACATCCAGGCTCTTTGAGGTGGTCTGTGCAAGGAGCACTATCACTTAGGAAGGGGCTGATCACTCTCTTACACTTGTAGGGATATGTGATTGGTGACCAATTCCAAAGGACAAGGTGTGAATATTAAAGAATAGAAATGAGGATCTAAGGTCAGGGCCCCTTCCCAGTAGACAGTCTCCTTCCACCACCAGCCTTGGAGATTAGACTTTATTGAGGAAAGCCAGCAACTTTTCATCCAACGCCTCCTGAGGACTGTATTGCTCTAGATGCTGGAGTTAGTGATGAATGAGACAGTCCTTGCCCTTCAGGAGCTTCTGATCCAGTGAGGAAATGCCCTTCCTTCTCTTTCTTTCGGTCTTTCATAGACAACTTTCAGGAGACATGTCTCTCTCTATGTGTATTGCTCAGCATTCAGCCTCCCTTGCTTCATCCGTGGTACATGTTGCTTATTCTTTCCTTGGGAAGATGCATGCTCTCTTCCAGACCTCTGATGCCTAGGGATAGAAGACAAGCACTTTCTCCATCCATTGATGCTTCAGGCTTTCTAGAAAAGAGAAGAGAAAAATAGAAGAGAGGCCGGGTACAGTGGCTCACGCCTGTAATCTCAGCACTTTGGGAGACCGAGGTGGGTGGATCACCTGAGGTCAGGAGTTTGAGACCAACCTGGCCAACATGGTGAAATCTTGTCTCTACTAAAAATTAAAAAAAAAATTAGTCGTGTGTGGTGGTGCACGCCTGTAATCCAAGCTACTCAGGAGGCTGAGGCAGGAGAATCACTTGAACCCAGAAGGTGGAGGTTGCAGTGAGCCAAGATCGCACTACCGCACTCACCACTGCACTCCAGCCTGGGAGACAGAGTGAGACTCTCTCAAAAAAAAAAAAAGAGAGAAGGCGCTTTGAAGATTAAGTGTGTTTTCAGAATGAGAAATGGAGAGTGAGTGACATCAGAGGTGGCTTTGGGATCTATTGCTTAACCAGAATGTACTATATGGGAACTATTTACAAGACCATGACCAGGCTACCAGCTTAGACTCTGCTAGAAGCCAGGCAGATGACGTAAACCCGTGAAACAGAAAAATGTAAAATAAAGGATGGTGGGGTCTGTGGTGAACCCAGAGAGGAGATGCCTGGCATAGCTTAAAATTTTTCGAATTCACGTTTTTAAAAATGACAGAAATAATTTTTAAAAACACTTTATAAGCAGAACAAAATGTATCTGCAAGTTGGATTAGACCTTTAGGAGCTGATTTGCAAATCCTTCACCAGACCTTGTGGGGCACTGCTCTGAAGGAGCACAGAACTTTGTTGGGGGGACAAGGCATAAAAGGTAAAAGGCACTGCAAAAGTTCCATAGCTGACAACAGTTTAGTGGATGGCAAAGGCAGCAAATGGTCATTCCTGTGTTAGTGGCTTACATTACTAATGGCCATGAGTTCAGAAGAGGAACTGATCCCTGAGGGCTGAGAGCACTTCAGGAGAAAGGAAGAGCATGTGCTGGGTCCTGAAGGATGGATAAGAGTTGGCTAGCTAGAGAAGAATGTGAAAGACCTTCCAAGGAAGGATGTCTAGCATAAGAGACTCCACATGGAGAATGAATAAGGAATTTATAGTAACCAGAAGAGAAGCTGATTCAGCAGAGATAGGTCTTGATTCTGGTCCTTTCCCAACTACAATACTCATCCTCCCCACATAAACTGCTTTTGATTAAGTTATGAAGATTGCCACTCACCTAATTTGCTGATTCTAGGTAGAATTACCCACAACTATAGCTGACACAATGCTTCAGGGAAGTGGGGATTCATGATTCTGGAGAATAGCTGGAGAATGATGGACAGCCAGAACCCCAAATGACCTCATGGTCCTCAAACTGTAGGATGGCAAAACTGCTCTGTCTTACTGAGATGACCATCCTTCAGTGGCATAATCATCCATTCTTGCTCTTGGAATCAAGTTTCCAGCTTGCCCTAAGTCCTTTAGACTTCTTCTGTCATGGAAAGTTGTATGGTGTTAGAGAAAGAACATCAGATCTGTAGTAGGCTTGAACTCAGTCTCTACAAGTGACTTTGGGCAAGTCATTAGTTCATTTATTTGTTCGTTCATTTACAACCCCTTGATGAATATTGCTGAGTGTGATTGTGATGCATGGGGCTAAGCATGGGGACGTGATGATGAGCTGAACATTCATTGTCCTTACCCTCATCCAGTTTACAATCTGTTCAGGAAAACAGGGCTTAAACAAATAGTCACACAGCAAAATAAGTAAGGACAAACTGCGACTGAGTCCCCTGAAGGATGAGTGCACTGGGTGCTGTGAGAGAAATACCTGAGACTGGGCAATGTATAAAGAAAAAGATGCTCAACTGGCTCATGGTTCTGCAGGCTGTGCAGGAAGCACAGCAGCATCTGCTTCTGGGGAGGCCTCAGGAAGCTTCCACTCATGGCAGAAGGCAAAGGGGGAGCAGGCACGTCACGTGGCGAAAGCAGGAGCAAGAGAGAGAGAGGGAGGGGAGACGCCACACACTTTTAAAACAACCAGAATTCACTATCTCGAGGACAGCACCAAGGGAATGGAGACTTGATTTGGACTGGGGGATGAGGGAAAGCCGCTCTGGAGAAATGACTTTTAAACTTCAACTTGAGAGCAGAGTAGAGTTGTCAGAAAAGGGGGGTATGAAGTCAGGGGCCCTGGAGGAGACTCCTAGAGAGGAGAGGAGACAGCAAGTGCAAAGTTATGTCCCCTCTCTAACCTCTTCCAGGCCTTCTTAGTCTCTTCCAGCTCTACCACCCAATTCTCAGGAAGTCAACTCTGGATAGAAGGTGAGACTGAAGATGGGCATTGAGAGGCACACTGACAGGAGCAAACAAATTATCTTTTAAAAAAGATGAAGAATGTTCAGGTGGAATAATCTCTAAATATGCAATTAGATATGGACTCAACTTTCAAAAGTTCATCTCAGAGCTAAATTCAAGTTACAAAAGAATTTGTGAGCTCCAAAATATGTCCTTAAAAAGTAGAAAGTCTCTGAAAACAGGAGCCCAAAAAAAGGACTCAGTCTTGTGTTTAACCATTGCCTTTTAGCAGAGCCCAAGACTGAGTGGAGTTGTAGCTCCCTCCTCCTGGCAGCTGCCAGCTCTCAGGCACCTGGGCATGCCTCACCCCCACTGGAGAGGGCTGTGCTCCTTTGCATCCTGAGGTCCAGTTTTGGCAGAATTGAATACCTCAGAACCTTAGGAATAATAAATCCTTCTGGCGAACCAAAAAGTGTTTAATTCCTAAAGGACAAGCTGGGTTGAGCCACTTCTAGCCAGGGGCAGTTGAAGACTTAATTCTGCAAGTGTAGCAATCTGGATGATCTGAAAGTGCTGAGTTTAAGGGTAATTGCTCAATTTTCTATCCATGTCAACAGGGAAAACAGGTAAAAGTGACTGAACACAGCCAGGCAATGAGGCTGGAAGAGATGTGAGATGCTAGGCTGTCAATGGAATTAGAAAAATGCTATCTGTAGAGGACTGTCGTCCCCCTGTCTCTCCCTCTTCCCATTCATCTGTCTCTGGGCTTTCTAACTCTCTTTTGGACTCTCTCTAGATTTTTTTGCTTAATTCTTTCAGCATATCCTTCATCCCTTCTTCTTCAAACAGCAGAGTCACTCTGAGCTGAAACAGCTTTGTCATAGAGAGAAAGTAGAAAGAATTCTTTAAAAACTAATCAATGGAAACCCTGATGGCTCAACTCCACTCTCACTTAGTAAGAACATTTCGTTATGTTGGCATTGCTTCCTTAGGCTTAATATAGCATATGAGACTTCCTAGGTGGTTCCTAAACCTGGTTCCTTGGCCTCCCTAATTTTTAAACAATGATCGTAACTACTTGATATCATTTAGATATGTGTCCCCGCCCAAGTCTCAAGTTGAATTGTAATCCCCAGTATTGGAGGTGGGGCCTAGTGTGAGGTGACTGGATTATGGGGCTGGCTTTCTCATGAATGGTTTGGCACCATCCCCTTGGCGCTGTCCTCATGCTAGTGAGTGAGTTCCGGTTGTTTAAGTGTGTGGCGCCTCCCCACCCCTCCCTCTTGCTCCTGCTTTCTCCATGTGATGTGCCTGCTCCCCCTTCACTTTCCACCATGATTGGAAGCTTCCTGAGGCCTCCCCAGAAGCAGAGGGCGCTGTGTTTCCTACACAGCCTGTAGAACCATGAGCCAATTAAATCTCTTTTCTTTACAAATTACAGTTTCAAGTATTTTTTTTATAGCAATGCAAGAATGGCCTAACACACTACTTCTGATGTTTTATCAAATAACACTCCTTAAACTCAATTTGTTTTCCTAAGTTCGGAGTTACTAGGCCTAGACATTAAGGTCTCTCTCAGTCTCCCTAACCTTTCCTACCACATGCGCGTGTAGGAACTCCACATCCATAGTGGGAACGGGGGCCGGGTGAGGTGGATTGGTGCTTACTGGTCCAAGGACTAAGCTGCCCTCTCTTTTGTCTCAGTGCTTTGTTAAATGTTGGTCTGTTTACAGGATATTGGGTAAGAAATTTGAAAAATCATTCTTGTAGGAAATAATATTGGTAATTAATATTTGTGTTTACCGTGAGCCAGGCGTTATGCCGACTGCTCTACCTGCCGTACTTCAGTTAATCCTCACAATTCTAAGGAGACACAGTGATTCTCACCATCTTACAGAGGAGGAAACCAAAACTTTATGAAGTTAAATAACTCATCGAGGTCACATGGCCAATAAGCAGTGATGTGCTCTCCAGGTGCGGGGAAAGGTCCTGACTGGTAGTGTTTGCCAAGCCTGTGGTGTAAATACTCCCACCATGATTGATTTCAAACTCCCAACATGACATCACTGATTTCAGAGGTGGGAAGAGATGGGCAGCAGCACCATCACACGGTCTTTACTTCCTCCATACAGGTACACGATAGGCACACATAGCCTCAAGATCACAGATAATAGGAAAACAGTAAAATTCAGGAAGTGGTGAGTTTTGAGTATTTATTACCTTTCTTTTTAATATAATTTAATTATAAGAATGTATAATTTCATCTTTAATCATGTTTCTGTTTGACAACCTGCAGGCAGAATTCCTAAGAATTTAGCGAGTGGCTCTTTGGGGCTGGTGCGAGCTGCTCCAGCACACCACAGCTGGGAAATGGTGGTGCTGGGACTCAGACGTGGTCTTTGTGTCTCCTAACCCCCCCTGCTCACAGCCCTACTTATGGAGGAGGCCCATCTCCACCTGTTTTCCAGCCTCCTGTTGCATATCGGCTCCCCCATCGCGATTCTCAGCTTTACTTCTTGGCCATGTCCTCAGTTCTGTTGCTCCTCTCATTGTCAAGTCTTGTCCACAGCAGGGCCTGGGCTGGCTAGAGACAAACACAAGAGACCAGGTCTTTATAGCTCTTGTGACATGAAGCAGAATCTTCAGGTTTGACCATTCCTCTCTTTTTTCCATCAAATCCATGGAGAGTACTTTTACATGATGAGTTCAAGAGTGCCCGTGCTAAATCCTCCAGAGGGGAGAACCTATTTTAGGGCTGGAGGAGTTTCACTGGGCTTGTACAGATTGCAGTGTGAGTATTGGAGAGTTTGGGAGGTTTGGTGAGAACTGAAATTCCGCAGAGCATCACTGGGCCATGAGACTTGACCAGACCTCCTCTTGCATTGGCAGGGCTAGGCCAGAGTCCCTAACTATGCCCTGAAATGTCTGGGTCACACCAGACTTTCCAAACATACCATCACGAACATCCCTGCTCAAAACAAGGTTGATAGTAGTAACGTCTCCGGGATTCCATTTTCCTTGTTATGTGAGCAGCTTGCTTGCATGCATCTGAAGAGGTAGAATGTGAAGAATGAAAATGGAAGTCTTGTGCACGCGTGCATGTTTTAAACGAAGCAGGTTGTATTAACCTTCCTCCAGGAACACAGAGAGAAAGCTCTGTCAGCATTCTGTCATGCTATAGTCTGTTAGGAGGATTGTGATTAATAGCAAATCATCCAGCATTCAGCACTGACAAAAGTAAAAGAGAGTTAAATCTCCCCAGAATCATTATAGAGATCAGGGTTTGTATGCTGTAACTCCTTGGATTCTGTCCCCATTTAATACAGAAGACAGGATCAGGATAGGACAAAGCCAATCCCATTTAGTTTTGTGAGACTGTCCCACATGTGACTGTACATGGTGTTTCAGCTTTCAGGAAGAGGCACGAGCACTTCTCCACCTCCACACAGTTGTGACAGGAGCGGGTGAATGAGGATGCGAGCAGGAGAGTGGCCTTAGATGGATGAGGACCACTGCCCAGGGAGATCTTAGACTGCTTTGATTTTTATTTGACCAGAAAGAAAGAGAGGCTCAGTATTCTAGGGTGTCTGTTTCCAGTGACAGGGACTATACAAAGAAAAGGCACCATGTTCTCTGCAATGGAAAAAGATAGGTGGAGTTGTAGAGTTGCTCCAGTCTTTGTAACCCAGAACACAGCAGGTTGTGGCCTGGGATGACTGGTGACTGTCTGTGCTTTCCTAAATAGAAGGCTGTGGTTCATTTCTCCGTTTGAAGGCTGGCAGGTAGCTGTTGCCTAGGTGAGATGGGAAGGGACAGGCATGTTTGTGCATCTGAAGTTGGACTTAGGACGTCACTTGGCCCTCAGTTGGAGAAGTCTTTTCCTTCTGACACATCACACATGGAGATAAGTTTCTAAAGGAGGACTTGAGGCAGCAAAACCTACATAGGGCAGAAATCTGGGGAAGAGGTAATAGGGAATCCTCTGACCCTCGCAAGAGGCAAACTTCATGGCCAAGTGACGCGTTTTCCTTTCGTGCTTTAGGCTCTACCAGCTTTCTGAACATTCAGAGATGTCCGGTGTGTGTGTGCGCATGTGCACACATCTCTGTGTGTGTGTACTTGTCTATATACACATGCAGGAGGACACAATGTGATTCCTGAGTCCAAAAGTGTGGTTGACAGACTAGGTTTACCTAAAAGACCCTTCAAGAGAAAGCTCTTGAAAGATGATTACAGAATTGAGACACCATCATTTAAAAGTGCCCAAGGCGAACTCCTTTGAAAATTGCAGCAGCGGAGGGACAGAGAAAGAGCCCCGCCGCCCTTGATTGTTGTGCTGCTCCCTCAGGACCCGTTCTCCCCCTCCCCCCGTTTCTCATCTGATAAGAGAGCGAGCAGCAGTAAGACTCCTCATCTGTCTTATGAAAATTCGATTCCGAGTGGCTGTGATCAAAACCAGCTGGCTGTCACCAGCAGTGGCCTTGTGCAGAGGGAGCCGCTCAGAAGCATTCCGTATGTGGGGGTGTCACGGGTGGCACTGATCAAAGGAGCATTTTTTTAATAAATATATATAAGGAAAAATACAAAACCTAAGGATTTAGAATAAAAGCAGTGTAGTTTGTCTTGTTTTTCTCAGTGTAACATGAAGAGGATGAAATAGAATCAGATATGCCTGGTTTCTAATGTTCTTCCACTGGCGGCTCTGAGAAGGTGCTCTCTGTCACATTAATACCAGATCACTCATCTTGGGCCTTATTGAAGAGAGTGGAGAGTTCCTCAGCTTCCGTTCCTTCTAGCCACTTTATTTCTTCATCACGTTTAAAGTCCTTTACCCCTCCTTGTCCTTAACACATTTCCACAGATGAAAGCTGGGACCTCCACGAGGCTCTGAGAGAGCTACTGCAGGACTCCGTTCTTCGTTTCCTTCAATTGACAGTATCCAGCGGGCCATACTCCCTAAAGGTCACCTGGGCAGGTGACGCCAGGGTCCTCTTCAGAATGGGGTCATCTGAGACTGCTAGACTCTTCCCTATAGAGAGTCCTCTCAGGGCACTGCCTGACTCTCAGGCCTGCAAGGCTGAGTCCTGGCTGCTGCCACCTTGCATTGCCAATACTGATTCTTGTATAACCTTCAGTGGACCTGGGTGGGATGACAGGAACATTGCTGTCTAGGGGATGACATTCGTGGCTCCTTCAGAAACATGCTAACATCCCTCTGTGGGTAACATAATGAGGTCCAGCATTCATACACCATAGTGTCTCCAGAGCCAAGTCGACGTGCTTGTAAACCCCCTTCTTTGCTGAAGATCCAGCCAGATCACAACTGTGCTGAGGCCTGACTGACCTCAGAAACCAAACTCAGTCCAAACCCCCCTCCCCAACCCATTGTCAGCCAAGAGAGCTGTCACAGCTTAGGGGGCTGTGAGGAGCAGTCAGCTATTTTGATCTTCCTCCTCTTAAGGTCTGTGATCTTTTTTCCCCAGCAGTATCAGGAGAGATTCAGTTTGGAGGAGCATGGAGGCATTTCAACGTATGGGCACCCCAAACTGGCACTGCAGAACAGGGCCTCCTCTCTCTGTCTCCCCATCGCATGCCTCCTCAGGGACCTGCTCCTGCATGGCTCCTGACCATATGCCCCGCTGTGTCTGCAGGGCCACACGCATGCTGCGTATGGTCAGTCCTGTTCCACACCTTTTGCAGCATGGCTCCGTAGCCACTGTCGCAGTTTTCAGACTCTTTTTCTCCTACCTGCCAGTAACGAGCACAGCCCTGGACCCAGCTCTAATCAGGTGAAATCACAAGGGACACATCTTCATAAAGCAGACCTGCTAGAGACCTGAGACGTGTTTGTGCCCCTTTTCCCCTGATTCGAGGAGTGCAGGGGACCGCTCGGGAGCTCCTCTGAGACTGCCTCTTTCCCTTGTTCCTTTGGGTGTTTGAAGCCTGTTGCCTCCTGCTTTCCCTTTTCTTTTCCCTTTTAAAAAATTCTCCATTTTTTGACTTAGAAAAAAATTATTTATACGATTGAGATCCACTAATTAAAGCCATTTTCTGGTATTTGGTTACTGGAGCGTTTGATGTCTCTCTGACAAGACCATGAAATGCATGGAGTGTCCACAGGGACAGAATTTGCTGAACACGGCTCTTTGTAAATGAGGGGACATAGTGTCGCAGCAGCTCATGAATATGAAACGCCCATGATGCCACCTCAGTGGACTTGGGAACACAGATGAATCCTGTCATGTGCTAAATGAGACCAATTTCTTTCACTTAACTTCATCTTCAATCAGACCTTCTTCCATTTGCCTGTTTAAAATTCCCCATACGTGATGCAGAAGGTAACAGCATTCAGTAAAACAAAGTTTTGTAGCTGCAGAGAAAAATTATAATGATCTCTGGTTTTAAGTTGTCATCTCCTAAAAACACGGGCATTGTTTTCTTGCACTTGAGAGCTCTGAATGTCTGTTGACTTTGCACACAGAATCAGGGGTTTGTCTGGACTGCTCTTATTGGGGTGTCCTTAAGCAGCATGTCCAGATCGCTTTCATGTGGATTGGTTGTTGAACTTGGCTGTGTATGGTGGATATGAGCCTTGAGCAGCCTGTGAGTGCTCTGCAGTGGCCAGGGCACTGAGTGGGAAAGAAATTTGGGAAGAGATTGTGTGTAACCAAACGGCATTTGCCTTTGGAAGCTCACTGAGTAAATGGAGTGGGGTGGTGTCATCATTAAGCACCCTGAGGAAGCTGGAAAGCTAAGCCAACCGTTTGTATCATTCGCTCAGATGTCAAGGTGAGAAAGTGCTGGAGTACAGAAGAGACTTTATGTAGTTCTCTAGAAGCCCTTCTGAACATGACCAGGGAATCCTATTCAGAAATCCCCAACCAAGAAAATTAGCAAAGAGTTAAGGGTTACAGAGAGGAAAAAGCTCCCTGCCTGAGGCATCTCTGCCTGGGTGG
This sequence comes from Homo sapiens, assembly GCF_000001405.40. NCBI lineage: Eukaryota > Metazoa > Chordata > Mammalia > Primates > Hominidae > Homo > Homo sapiens. The sequence goes on from NC_000014.9 coordinate 76,076,456, forward strand.
GACCCAGGGGCCAGATTGGGGTGTCTCCTTTGTTCTCTCCCTGCTGGAGTTAGATTTATACTCCAGGTGAAGAGCTGGGTAGTGCTTGGGGTATACTCATTGCAAGCTGAGTCCAATCTAAGAAGTCACTTTCTGTTCTAGCGGTACCCAAACAGGCAAACAACAGCTGGATCTGAACGCATGCTATCACAAAACGCATCACAGAGATTTGGGGCTGGCTTCATTGGAAGAGGCAGGTAGGCTTTTGACTGTCAGTCTACGGGAACTGAAAAGGATCCTTCTGGGACTTTGCTAGGTAATTAGCATTTTAGTGTGCGCATGTGATGATATTATCCGTAATGAATGTATTTCAGGCCAAATGGCAGTTGCCCTCACATCCAACAGCTCACATCTTTGAAACCAGTTGTAATTGATCTATTGGTATTCTATAAGTTTCTATTTATTTAGGCAGCACCCATTTATTTCTGTGGTATCATCTGCTGAACGATTTTTTGGGTAGATGTGTTGGGTGTCGGCAGAGTAGTGATCTAGTATCAAAATGGGTTTCCCATTTGGCAATCTCTCTTTTTGAAATAGATTTGTACTGCTGTTGCTGTGCGTTAATAAGCCTCTGTTGGGTGGTTCCAGAATGTGGAGATTGGTGAAAAGCAGTGTGACCCAGCCTCAGGTTGGAAGCCAGATGGGCCATACTGGACCAAGTTTGAATGACTCTTCCTCTGAAACTTTGTCTCCACACATCCCTTGTTTCTTGGATATGCACAGGGCTCTCCCAGGGGGCCTTGCAGCTCTGAAGGAAGCCAAAGTCTTTGCTATGATGTTATCAAATCCAGGAAGTAGCCAAGGATTACTCTTATTTGTTCTTGTGAAATGAATCCTACTCAGGCAGCTTTAGGACTCAGTAGCGATTCTAACTGGAACAATGTAGAGAAGTAGAGAAGGTTGACATGGCTCTTCTGTGTGTGTCACTTCCTGACCTGAGGAGCATCTGTTGAATGCAGTTCTATTCAGTTGTTCCTAATTTTTCCAGTCCTTGGAATGCACAGATGCCTGGGATGTGGCATTGCTGTCAGCTAGTTCACCATCCAGGGGGCAGACTTGGGGCAAATTTCATGGATTCTACCTCCTACAAGGTAGTGAGGGCTACCCTGTGGCCACGAATAAAGTATTATGGAAGGATAAAGTAGGAAGCTCTTATTTCTGCTTGTTAGATTCAGAAGTGATCCACTAAGGAAGAGACATGCATTTTCTATCCTGCTTACTCCCTCTGGATTTCCCCCCATCATGCCTTGGAAGGGATCTGGCATAGCCCAACCACAACGTCCCGCCTTCAGTCTCTCCAGTGTTTCCAGTTACTTCTCACCGCCGAGCACCTTTGCACATGTTGTTCCCCGCCTGGCTGAATCCTGATTCTCCTTCAGCTTCAGCTGCCCTGTCCTCAATGCAGAAATACGTATTCTTCCTTCTTTAACTCCTCAACCCTAACCCTACTAACCCTAATCCCACACCCCCAAATTAAATCCTCTCTGGACTAGATTAAATGCATTGTGGAGCAGTGTTCAATAGAATATTAGAAGGTCATTTAAAAGAAGTAAAATACATCTATATGTTGATAAGGAAAGATACAAGCAAGGTGCAGAACAGTGTCTGTGTAGTGTGATCCCATCTGTGAGCATTTTTAAAAGGACATATGTGCTGTGTTATTTGCGAATTCTTTTCAGCAAATAAATATGAAAAAATCGTTAACAGTGATTACTTCTAGGGAGATGACTGGGTCTCACGGAAGGGACATTTTTCATTTTAAACCTTTCTATAGCATTTGAATTTATTACTACCTATAATGTTACTTTTGTTTTAGAAAAATAATTAGGTTTCCCTGTTGCTTTCCATCATGAAATCCAGTTGGTTTCCTTCTTTGTGTGTATTTTAATTTGTAAGCAGTACCTTTCTTTGTGTTTATTAGCCTCCACCAGACTGGTGCCCCATGAAGACAGGGACCATGTCTATTTTATTTGCTGTTGTTACTGGCATGGTACCTTTCACATAGTGGGTGTTCCATCAGTATCCTTGAACAAATGAATGAAAGAATGAATGAACAAGCAGACAGATGGAGTTTCCTCACAGCGTGGCTGACCAGGCCCCACGTGGGACAGAGAAGCAGGTTGAACAGCTGTGAGATAGCCAACGTCAAGGCAGGGAGCAGTGCACAAGGCAAGGAAGGAGTCTTCTGTTTAAGCATCAGAGCTGGGGCAGAGAGCAGTGCGGCCGTGTGACGGTGGCACTGCCTGCCGGGGAAGCTGGGGATACCGGCTCCCATGGTGCCGGGGGTGTCACAGCCCTCTTACCTCACCTTCCCCTCCTCGGGCTTTTCAAGGTGCCTGGCCACCTCCTCCTCCTTGGGGCTAGTTTAATAAGATAGGGTTGGTGGAGGTGGAGTCTCTGGGACTCTGATGTGGTGCCTTTTTTCCATTCTGCCCCATTTAGCCTTGTAGAGAAGTAGCGAGTCAGGGTGTATGGTAAGGGAGAGGACTTAGCATATCTCTAGTTATTGGAATCGAGAGAAAGACCCCAGAAGAGAGGACATTAAGTTTCACAGGACATTACGTGAAAGCTGTCTCGACCATGGGCAGCTGTCTCACCCCTTCACTATAGGAGGAGGCGTCTTTGAAGGCATTTCACTTTTGAGAAGAAAGCCCATGTGGGGCATGGCAGGGCTCAGGCATCGCAGCCACATTGAAGTCCATTACTCATAGATTCACTCCATGCAAGCTGCTTAATCTTGCTTAGCCTCAGTGTTCTCTTCTGAAAATGGCCATCACTGGGCAGGAGAAAATGAAGGTGGAGCCATGTAGTTTCTCTACATATGTAATATTATAATATCGGTGAAGTCCATAAGAATGGTTATTGAATATTATATACTGATCACAGTGCTAGTATTTCATAAAGATCATTGCATTTAATACAGCAACTGACTGGGTGGGCGTGAGTCTGATCTTCATTTTATTGATGAAGAAATTGAGGCATAGAGAGAAAAAGTCACACAACTAGTAGGTCGTGGAGCCGGGATTTGGAGTGGACCCTCCTTCCTCCAGAGCCTGCTTCTTAACCATGGAGCAAGGAGTTCTACATGGCATGCCCCTGACCTCATTGCAGCTGTTCATGTTCTTCTCCGTTTTAGCAACATTGAAGAAAAGGAAAATAAAATAAACATAATTTTTGGATTTTTTAAAATGGTGGTTGCTTTTCAAAAGTACCAGAACCGACTCCTGTCTTCCTTGTATTGTCTCTGTTAAAATCGTGTGCTTTGCATGTCAGACTTTACAACCTGAATCAGGCTACATCACCAGTCCACCTTTGCAGGTCGCCACTGTCTCTTACTGGAGGCAGGCCGGATCACTGCTCATAGGTAATTTTGTGAAGAAGCTAGTTTCCTAAGTCTATTTTCTTTTTTCTGTGTTCGTTCATGGTATACGTGAGAGTGGGGGAGTGGGGAGGGGGGAAGGAGATAAAAAGAAAAAAAAAATTCCCCAGAACATATTATGTGCTCATGAGCACTTGCCTGTGATTGTAAATCAGAAACTGTAAAATTGTGAAGTTCTTTGAAGTTTGCCCAAAACCTGCTCTGCAGACACCTGTTCTGCTGGGGGCCGGAGTTGGATGGCCTGCCTCTGCTGCGATGGCTCAAGCTGTCACTGCACAAGAATGTTCCAGCTTGCCTTGGCCTGGCTGTCATCGCTGGCTCTGTCCCACTCAGGCGGTTCACCGGGTTCTGCTGGGCACCAGGCTTCCAATTAGAGAGAAATCCCACTGTGTGGCCAGCCCCACCAGCGCCGCTCTGAGCAGCCCCTTTGCCAAGGCCCGAGCTGACCTCTGATCTGTCACAGATGGGCCAGCCCCACACTCTTTGTGCACATTTGGAGGAGGGGGTTGGGGACGAAGAGGGAAGCCTGTGGGGAGTGAGAGTGGACATCGGGCAGAAGTGCAATTCCTCAGAGCCCCAAGACGCTGGGCAGAGTTGACAGGACCCAAATGCTAAAGTTGTGGAGGGAAAGGGGAGTTTGGGAAGACCCTGTCCTGAGCCCTAAACTCAGCACAGTGCATTTTCTTACCAACTTCTGAATATTCATCTCAGGCTGGATTCTGCACCCGAGGAGAGCCAGGCACACTCCAAAACTGTCACACTGCCGATGGTGCGTGGCACAGCCAGCTTCCTCTCTGTCCCTCCATAGGGCCTGTGCAGTCTTACCAGCCTGGGGAACGGCATTCTCAGCAGCCTGCACAATGGACTGTATTAATCACGTAGAACGAGAGGGAAAAAGAAAGCTAAATTTCTATTAGCATAAGAAATAGAATCTTAGAGCATTCCATCTCCAATTCTCTAGCAGGATAGAGAGATATAATCTAAGCTCTGAACAGCTTCTTTCTAGCTATAAGACTTGCTAAATGTGGTTCATTATTTGGGGGGTGGTGGATGTGTCTCTGCTTTATTTTCCCTAGCAGCAATTTCTTTCTATTTTTATCCCTTTTCACTCTTTTTATCCCTTGTTTTCTCTGCCTGTCTCTTTCTGTTGAATTTTCTCTGTGTCTGTCTCTCCTTTGCATGCTCTCTTTTTCCAGGTACAACATCTGTGCCTCCACAGTCGGAAGTCATAATAAAGACACCAGGCTTGGAACTGACATTTCCATCCTCTGGCGTCACTTGACTAGAGTGATCAAAAGTCGAAATCACGAATTGCCTGAAAGTGGCAAGGGCCTTCTCAGCTGTTGTTGAAATGATTTGCACCTCTTTGAAAACTAAGATTGAATTCAGTCCATGAAAGCAGAAATGAAAGATGTCTTCACCAGTCTACCTTTGGGATTTCTCCTTCTTTCCGTGTTTACAGTTGCTTTGGGAATTCCAGGACTGTCTCACCCCACCAGGCCTTTTTTCTTGCACCATCCCTCCCTTCTCCCCCACCCCTGACCGTTTAAAACAAAATGTCTCAACCAGTCAGTGATACTCACTTGGAGAAGGAAATGTTTCTTTAGGATGTTAGGTTGACCCATGAGAACATGGACAATTTTTGGTCACTTAAGCAAGTTGCCACAATTAAGGGATGGACTGGTTTCCCAGTTCTCTGTTTGCATGATTTTGTTGGACTGGTGGAAGAAATGGCCTCGTGTCTCCTCGTATGTTGTCTGGAGAGTTCAGAGATGGAAAATCTTGAGACAGCAAGAAAAGCATGATTGTAGAATCAGCATCCCTGATTACATTAGACCTGGCAAATGGACGCCTGGATCCCAGGGAGTCAGGCTATGTCATTAGATGGAAGATGCCCTTGAGATGCAGGCTGAGGGCCCTGATGATTGCACTGCGGGGCTAATGCACATAGAGATCTGGGTCATGAGGAGTGGCACTCACTGCGGCATCCGCTTTGTGACACTACATGTTCTCAGTTCCTCTGTCTCTGACCATGCCAGGCTCACTTGTCAGTTCCTCTTCTTTCCTCTAATAAGCCCTTTGTTACATTTATTTCTTTACATTTCTCCTTGGAGATCCACTGCAGTGGCTTCTAACCTGTTGCACGCGTCAGAATCACCAAGGAACGCCTGGGAAAAAAATCTGGATGCTTGAGCGTGACCCAGGAGGTTCTATCTCAGCAGGTTCTGGAATGAGGCCTGGGATTCAGACATCGTTGAAACTCCACCTTTGATCCTACCCCTAGTTTGTATCTGAGTGTCCTTCCTGCCCCAGCCCACAGCCCCATGGCTGGTGTGTTGAAGGGGAATGAGTAAGAAGTGGAGAAGCAGGCACAATCCCTATGAGTTCTGCAGACAGTGTTGCCTCTGCCTCTCCTTGCAGATATTCCTATCATTCCGGATCTGGAGGAAGTACAGGAAGAAGACTTTGTTTTGCAGGTGGCAGCCCCTCCCAGGTAGGTTAAATCAGATATGATTGGGGAGGCAAAGAACACGTGAATTAATACACTCCAGATATCATCTATAGTGGACCTTGATGTCAATCTGGATCTTTCTGGTGTTGGGCTCCATCCAGGGTTCCCATTTTGTTATTCCCATTCTGGTCATCCCCTGCTGTATACAAGGTTCTGGGGACGGTGGCCCGGCAGCACTCCTGGAACAGGTCCTGCCTGGGGTTCCCGCCTCTCGCTCTCTCTTTCCTTCAGCATCCAGATAAAGCGGGTGATGACCTACCGTGACCTGGACAATGACCTCATGAAGTACTCAGCCATTCAGACACTGGTGAGTGGAACAGCTTCTGCATAGAGAGGCGGGCTCCAAGCAATGGGCTTCAATCCGTAGAGATTTCTCAGTTCCTCCCAAGCTATACAGCGCCTCCACCAGTCCCCTGAGGCTGCCTGCCTGGCACCCATACCTCTGCTGCAGGTTTTATCATCATTCATCTCACAGCAACCCTGGACCCAACATAGTACAGTGTTTCTCAGTGCCAGGCTCCCACCTGCCTCCATGGCTGCCCACTTGGCACCTGATGGCACCCCACTCCCCTCTGTCCCTGTGGCTGTACTGCTGTCACACTCGGTCCTCCTGGTATGGTCCTTTGCCCCAAAGCACGCCCAGCATGTGGGAAGCATAGCCTTCCCTCATTTCTCAGTGGGCATGTGGTTCATTCATGATTTTACTCTCTTGTGAAGGCATTCCTGCAGGTCTCAGTTTGGGAAGTTCTGACACACAAAAACTGATCCCGGTTTTGTGAGAAAGAGTTGCCTGAAAGCCCTCAAGGTGCTCAGCCTGACCTTTTTTTGTTTGCATTCACAGGATGGGGAGATCGACCTGAAACTCCTCACCAAAGTGCTCGCGCCGGAGCACGAAGTCCGGGAGGTACAGTGGTGGCAGCAATTCCCCGGTCTCTCAGCTCTGGCATTCCCATAACCAGCCGACTCCCGGGCTGGCCTGTGCCTCCCTGAGGCCTGGATGGGAGGGAGAAGTCAGCTACAGTTGAGGGAAAAGGCCTTTCTTTGTCTTACCCAGCGAAACCCTTCTTGGCAGGATGATGTCGGCTGGGACTGGGACCATCTGTTCACTGAGGTGTCCTCAGAGGTCCTCACTGAGTGGGACCCACTGCAGACGGAGAAGGAGGACCCTGCGGGGCAGGCCAGGCACACCTGAGCCCGTCACCCATGCTCTAGACATGAAGAAATGCAATGAGCTTAAAGCTAAAGAAGCTTGTAAGCAGCTCCGAATTTTTACCTGGAATATTTTGTAATAAAAATATTTATATTCAGTCAACCACATTGGATAATTCAATTGCAATAAATTGCTTATTCTGTGCCATCTCCTCCATTTCTTTCCAGTCTCTTCTTGGAAAATGTATCACAAGTGAAGGAGAACAGCTTTTAAACCAGCTGATAGGAACTCAGAACTCGCGGCCTTGTTGCGGAGCATGTGGGAGAGTTCGATTCAGGCGGAGAAGGAGTGGGCACTCCTACTGAAAGCTGTTCACTTCTCGGGAGGTTTCAAACAGTTGCCTGCTGGGGTTCTGGGGCGGGGCCTCCCTTCCCGTGGGTGCTCTGGGCCCTTTGTGACCTTAGTGACGCAGCACTGCCACCTGCATCATAGGCTTCCAGGCAGCTGCAGCGGAGGGAGGAGGCGGCGGGAGGGATAAGGAGACTCATTCTTCACTCGCATCAGGGTTTGGTGGCTGTTGTGACAATATTCTCCTTTCTCCCCTCTTCCTGCAGTCCATGCCTTGAGCTCCAAAAGCTTCTACAGGTTCCCAGAGCCTCATTTCTGATTCTCATGGGAAGGGGCCAGCCAGCAGCCCTGAGAATTCCATGGAAGCCCTCTCTTACAGAGCCTGGGCCTCCCTTCTCCTTATCCTTTTAGATACGTTGCAGCCATCTCCACCGCTGCAAGTATTATAACCGCCTGGTTCCAAGATGTGCTGAGATCAGGAGCAGAGTCCCACCCTTCTCCTAAACAGAGCTGTCTTTTGTTTTTGTTTTTCTCTTTTCCTCCCTGAGACTTCTTATCTGAGGACAGAGCCCCTTCGCTGCCTGCTTCTCTTGGATGCGGCTTTGGGTTAGGCTGGCAGCAGCTAACTAAGGCCCACTCCCCGGCCATAGGGAGCGCTGAGTGCTTCTGTTATCCTGCCTGGAAAGCCCTTCATTAAAATTCAGAAAAACAAAGAGGCTCAACACATCAAAAACCCACTGGGGGGTTATTTTTGTGTGACTACGGTGCCCTTCCCCGGCGAGCCACATGGCTCCAGAACAGGCAGAGCGAATGCTTGTCTGTTAATTATAAACTCGGGGATTTAGTGGCTTTAGGGTTCCATTTCCTCCTTTTCCAGAGTCACACTTTTAGCCCAGGCAGCCCCTCTTTGGAATAATTCCCATGGCCACTGAAAAGTTTCCATCCAGGCTAGTTTTGCTTGAGTCTACATCAGTCTGAAACCCAAAGGAGAAAGGCTGTATTTCTACTCCCTTAATTACTGGAAATCCAACTGCCTCAGGACTCTGATAACCTTGGAGGTCTCCAGCCAGCCTGAGCAAGTGGCTAGGGGCTGACTTCCTTTCTCCCTTTATTTTACAACAGCAGCAACAAGATCTAACATGGAGCTCTCACTGCATGCCAGGTGCTGGGTTCAGCACACAGGAATGATCAGATTTCATCCTCACAGCCTCCCAGTAAAGCAGATGCTGTGGTTATCCCATTTTACAGATGAGGAAACAGACTCAGAGAGGTTAAGAGATCGCCCAAGATTATCCAGCTGAGTGGCAGAGCTGGAATTCCAAGTTCTGATGCCACAGCGCTTTACCACCTGTGTTTCTGTTACCCACTGCTGCCTTCATCTTGGGAAAGTAATCTAGTTTATAGCAGACAGAATTTACAAGTTCACTGGGAGAAAGAAGTCCACTGCCACCACCCCTCCCCGTCCCCACTCTTGTCTGTGGAGTGACCACAGAGCAGAGGGCTTCTGTCAGTCCCCTGGTGTGAAGCCTGGCAACATAGGTGAGCTCAAGAGTCCTGGCCCCAGGGCAGTGGGACTGGGTAGGAGCAGCTCTACGTTGAGCAAACTGAGCTCAGCCAAATCAGGTCCAGGCCACATGTGACTGAGTCTCCTTTCACTTGTCCTGTGCCCTGATCATGTCCTGTCTGGGCTTCTTCCTTTACCCAGCATTTGCTCATCATGGCTTCAGGGTGCCAGAGGAATGGGATGTTGCAGAATCTATGACCGCCCAGTTCTCATCTGACATGGAAAATACCTTCCTTAGGTTACATCCAACGGTGTCATATACTTGACTTCAGAGAGCCTTTCAGGAACATGGCCCAAGAGGGCAGTGACAGAATCAATAAGCATCCACAGGTAGCAGCAATATGGTTTTGTGCAGGTGTGGGGGAGCATGAAGTGAAGAATCTTGGTGCTGCCATTTCTAGTAATACATGGCTTGTTAACCAGTTCCTTACCAGTTTCTCTTAGACGGGCTCAAGTCACTTCTGAGCAGGCTTGGGTAGCCCAGCTGGTCTCTGACAAAATCTCCCCTGGTGTCTTTGGCATTAGGTGGTCACGGCAGAGATGCCGTTCATAGGCCGGGCTGTGATGGGGAAGTTCATTACTTTGTGGAATAATTGATTGCCACTTCCCTCAGGCCAGGCTCTGGTCTAGACACTCCAGATACAGAACTAGACAGGCAAAACTCCCTTCCCTTATAGAGCTTACATTCTGGAAGGGGAGATGGACAAATAAAGTAAAATAGATAGTGTCTCAAGTGGTAAGAGATACTATAGAGAAAAATGAAGCCGGCACAGGGAAGGGAGTGCTGGGGAGGGGGGTCGTGATTTTTTAATAGGGCAATCGGGAGGCCTCCCTGAGAAGGGAGCATTTGGGCACACAACTGACAAGGTGAAGGAAGGAGTGAGACTGGTGCCCAGGGAACAGTGCTCTCAGTAGCAGGAACAGTATTTGCAAAAACCAGGAGGAAGGCATGTGCCTGACCTGTTGGAGGAGTGGCTGGAAGTCAAGGTGCCCGGGGTGGGGGTGACAACGAAAGAGAAGGTTCTCTGGCTCGCTGTGCCCAAGGCCCGGCTTGTCACAGGAAAGGCCTCTGGGTGTCTGGGGTCCTCTCCCTCCTGTGATGACAGCATTCTCAGGCTTCCTTGGGCTTGACAGGCACACTATGGAAAACTTCCCTCAAACTACTGCATGGCCTCTTCATGCCTTGGCCTGGAAGAGGCAGAACTATTGATGCTACATTGCAGGAGAGAACAATGAGCTCTGTCTGTCAGAGACCAGAGGCTGGGAGGCTGCTGCCAGCTCCCCACCAGGAAGGAGGGTGTGCCCACTGCACCAGACAGTCAGAGAGGCACTATAAGGCCCCTGCACGGAGTGCTCCCTGGGAACTCGGCTCCCAGTGAAGAGCTCAAGCCAGAAATTCATCCAGGCAGGCCGGCAGCTGAAGCTTAGGTCATCTCTATCCTTGACTGGTGGTTCATCTTTGCTAAACCCCACGACACTCCAGATGGGCATTTATAACTACATGCTCTCACTGGAAACATGCCACCACCTGTTCAGTGTTGCTTGATCAAAATGTGTTACTGGCACAAATCAAGGCCTTCCTGCTTAGTAGGTAAGGGCGCTTCTGGGCTCATTGCTGCCAGAGACCTGCATGCAAAGTGCTGTTTACTGCAGAGAGATGTGGAAGCGTAGACTCTGCCTTGCTTGACCAAGCAGCACCATGCTTTTCTCCTTCAGGTCAAAGAGTCAATGGGGAAAAGGGTAGGTAGAGGGAATAGGAGTAAATAACAGTGGCAAAGAGCACAGGTTCTAGAATCAGGCAGAATGGGGCTCCAGTCCCAGCTCTGCCTTGTAGCTCTGGGCCCTGGAGCAAGCTGCTTTCCCTTTCTGATCCTGTTTTCTAATCTGGAAAATGGGATGATATTAATATTGTCTTCTTGGGATTGTGGCGCCCAGTAAAAGCCAGCTGCTGTTATTGGATTTGAGAACTGGATAAGATTGAAAAGTTAACGTAGGAAAAGTGACAGTTTATGGCAACAGTGCCTGCAGTTTGCTAGGGGGTATCACCTTCATCTCCCCTCATGAATCACTTCTCAGCCATGGATGGAAAGATGGCTTGGCACCAGGTTTTGTTTTGTTTTGTTATTTGTAACAGCTTTATTTAGATAAAAGTTGTGTGCCGTAAAATTAAGAGTACACAATTGAAGTTGTACAATTCAGTGATTTTTAGGAAATATATGAGTTTCTGCAGCCATCACCATAATCCTGTTCTAGAACATTTTCCTCATCCTACAGAATTCCCTTGTGTCCATTTACAGTTAATTCCTGCTTTCATCCCCAGCCTTGGGCAACTGCTCTCCGGCCCCATCAGTTTGCTGATTCTGGACAGTCCTGAGTAGCTGGGATTACAGGCGTGTGCCACCATGCCCGGCTAATTTTTGTATTTTCAGTAGAGACAGGGTTTCACCATGTTGGCCAGGCTGGTCTCGAACTCCTGAGCTCAAGTGATTCGCCTGCCTCGGCCCCACAAAGTGCTGGGATTACAGGTGTGAGCACTGTGCCCGGCTGCACAGATGTTTTCATTCCACCTAGGTAGATTCCTAGGAATTAAATTGCTGGATCATATGGTATGTTTACGTTTAACTTTTAAGAAACTGCCAAACTGTTTTTCAGGGCCTCAGTTCTTTAGGATATCAGGGTTAAGTAAGTACTTTTTTCTTGTTTCCTGTCCTTAATTTTTTCAAAGGCTGCTGTTGAGTTTGTGGGAGGCATATTCTTCTGATTCCTCCCTCCCTGCCTTCTTCCTATCATTGAGTTTATCTCTGCTTTGAGAACATAGGCCTCATCTGTCTGTATTCCCCACTAGCCTGTAAGCTCTTCCAGTCCAAGACTAGGTGTTGATCGCATTTCTATCCAACTGCATGCCTATTCCAGGAGTTCAAAGTCAAATAAAGCACACTCCTGACCTCTAGAAACTCACAAGCTAGCAAATAAATAGTGTGTGAGTGAAGGAGCCCATATGATCTGCAAAATACAGATGGGAGGAGAGAGAGAGGGATACTTCGCCCACCAAGAAATAACAGAGGTGGGGCTGATTTGCTTTGAGCGAAGGCCACTTGGTTCTTGTAAAGTTTTACAGGAACACAGCCATGCTCATTTGTTTACGTGCTCATTTGTTTACAACAGCTCATTTGTCGATGGCTGCCTTTATGCTACAAGGGGCAGAACTTAGTTGTGACAGAGATCGTCTGGCCTACAACGCCTAAAATATTAGCTATCTGCCGCTTTGCAGAAAAATGTTGCCAACCCCTCCTTAGAGGAGAGAATGAAGATGAGAAATAACAAACCTGCGTGCTCTCAAAGTTCAGCTGCTTGTTTCTATCCAGGAAATTCATTGCAGCAGGAGTGATTTGAGTTAAATGTAAGGAAAGACTAGAAGGGTGGGGAGATTCTGGCCCCTAAAGGAGAGACAACCTTTCTTTAAGAAAAGGAAACGAGCACTCATCAGTTCCAGGAACAGGGACATGATCTATCTGGAGACAAAAAAGCTGGAAAGGGGGACATCTGGCTCCTTCTTGGCCCTTTGATCCTACTTGGGATGTGGGGGTGAGGAAGTCTCTAGGAGCCAAATGCCTTTGTCAGCGGGCTCAGGATATTGAAGAGAAGGCCCAGTGGAGTGGGTGTTAGAAGCAAGGGAAGGGGAAAATGTTGATTTTTCTTTTGGCAAGGCAGAAATCAGAAAGCAAGGGTGGTGGGAGCAGAACGAGGAAGAAGCCGTTCTTCTGTGGCTGTGCCGGAGTGAATTAATTCACGGCATATGTTCCTAGCATCTGTCGTGGTGACCTGGACTGGAGGGGTCAGTGAGAGAGGAGACCATGCCAGGACTGAGCATTAGCCCAGAATTCCCAGGCTGCAGGGGCTCTTGGCTCCCACCGAACGCTGGCTGGCCAGCCCACCCAGGAACAGCTGCTGCAGCTGCAGCCACCAGCGCTGCCTCGGGGAGGAGGGAGAGCATCCCCTTCCTGTGCTCCCCACAAGAAAACACCTGGCCAAGGAGGGGCTGGGAGAAGACCAGAAAGAATCCTGCAGAACGCTATCTCTTCCAGACCTTTAGCGGCGGTAGATTCCACCCAGCAGCCACACGTCCGCCAGCAGACTGCAGGTGTGTCCCCAAAGGACAGCACAGGAGGGGTGAGAGAGCCACAGCCCTGAATGGAGAATGAACAAGAATTTGGGGACTTCCTCTTAAGTGTCAGTCCCAGAATTTCCCTGGATGCTATGTGGGCTGCGTGGTGCTGAAGTGTCCCTTGTGAGTTGATGGTCAGCCCAGAGGAAGCAAGGCAGGCAGGCGTGGTGGCTGAGAATGGGATGATGCCAGGTTCACATCTGTGCTCTTCCACGTCGCAGCTGTACGACCTTGGGTATGTTCTCATAACTCCTTGAGCCTCAGTTTTCTCATCTGTGGAGTGACGCTGAAAATCATTCCTGAATCACAGGGCTATTGTGATGATTAAATGAGCTGATGCTTGTTGAGCTGATGCTTGTTAAGTGTCTGGCACAAAGTAAGCCCTCAATGAAGATTAGTTCTGATCACATTGAATGGGCAGGCAGTGGTCACTTGTTGTGCCTGATCATAAATCACAGGGCATTAGGACCTGACCGGACCTGAGTGGGCATCTACCCCAAGGTCACAAACTGGAGGCCATAGGCTGATGCTGACTCACAGGACATGTTGGGTTTGGCTCATGCACTGTTTTTAATTGTTTTGTTAATTATCAACATTTAAAACTGAAAGGTTTAGACTTCCAGCTTCTCTTGGAAAATAACTGCTTGCTCCCAAAGTTCAGCTGCTTATTTCTATCCAGAAAATTAATTGCAGCTTCCAGCTTCTCTTAGAAAATGGGAGGATCGGCCGTGCATGGTGGCTCATGCCTGTAATCCCAGCACTTCGGGAGGGTGAGGTGGGCAGATCACGAGGCCAGGAGATCGAGACCATCCTGGCTAACACGGTGAAACCCCATTTCTACTAAAAATACAAAAATTAGCTGGGCGTGGTGGCACGCGCCTGTAGTCCCAGCTACTCGGGAGTCTGAGGCAGAAGAATTGCTAGAACCTGGGTGGTGGAGGTTGCAATGAGTTAAGATCGCACCACTGCACTCCAGCCTGGGCAACAGGGTGAGACTCCGTCTCAAAAAAATAAAAATAAAAAATAAAAAAAGAAAGAAAAAGAAAAAGAAAGAAAATGGGAGGATCTGGCTACTCTGGAGCTGCTGTTCTTAGAGCAGCTATTGACTGGAGCTGAGAAGCAACAGCTTTTAATGAGTAGCAGGTGATCAGCCCACGTGCTTCCGCGGACGCATTCCTGCCTGGCCACGCAGGCATTCACTTTAAGAGCCCTGCCCAATCTTCTCATTTTACCAGTGAGGATTCTGTCCCCCAACGACACTTATCCAACCAAGGTCATGTTCCTGAGCCTGGACCCTGGTTACTAACAAAAGCCAGCATCCTTTGTCAGTAACCAGGGCCCTTGCCTGCCATCTAACCTCACATCATGCAAGCTGTGGAGAAGGCCCAGTTTCCCTACCACGGGTTCTCCTCCTCTGATCAGTCTAACTCTGTGTCTGGCACACATCTGACAAGAGTTGAAGCAGAGTCCTAGGCTATTTCCAGGACCAGTAACAGGACCCTTTGCCAGGTGCCCAACGTGGATGGTGTCTGTCCTGTGCTCAGCTGTCACAGGAAAAGGTGGGAGGTTTGCCTTCTTCCTTCTCCGGCCTCCGCCGGTGTAGGCATTATAAAGAGGCCTCGGGGGCCACCTAGCAGCCAGCAGCGTCTCTACACAGGCCACTCCGTGTCCAGGCTGAGACCATGTGCTTCCCAGCCTGTGACTGAACATGGCAGTGGTACAAGGGCTCACCATTTCTGGCCAGCACAGGACTTTCTGCTGCAATCTTTGCACGGCGTTCCCCGTGGGGAGGCCAGAACTTTCTCCAAGCTGTGCTGCTGTCTGAGACACTTGCCCTCCAGTCCTCCTTCCTGCCCTCTCCCCTTTCTCAGGCCTCAGACCCTCATCACCACCTGAAGGCTTTTCCTGCTCCTGCTCCTTCGCCTCCCCCTTGATCTTTCCCAGGAATTACCCTCAGTAAATCTCCTGCACTTCCAGCTCCGCGTTGGTGTCTGCTTCCCAGATGAGCCAAACAGAGAGCTGGTGGTGGCCCAGCTAGACTCAGGGGGCAACAACTCCTGGCCAGGGCTGAGAAGACACAGCCTGTTACAGGGATAGGGAGCAGGCTCACCTCCAAAGCCAGATGGCTCATGAACCCTAGTGTGGGTGAGATTCAGGTCAGGGATCCCCGGTGGGGCGCCAGTAGCAGATCCCTCTTTCATTCAGGTAAGCACCAATGTGGAATCCAACCCAACTGAGAAGGCCTGAAAAGGAGGAGCTGGAAGCCCCTCAGGGGGCACTCGGCAAGAATTTGGTCCCCTCTCAGCAGGAGTAGAAGCCAACTTGGTGTCTTCTTGCTGAGGTAGGGCACGGATAGCCTCTGTTGGTGGCTTTATGGGCAGAGAACAAGGGATATCATGACATACTAGGCCTGCCAGGAGACAGGAGATGCCTGCCCTCTATAGCGACACCTGTTGCCTCTCAGGATCTGGGGATCATCTCTGGATGTGGGAGAAGAGATGTAGAAGCAGTTGCACCCCAGACCTTGCCGGGGCAGGTGCCGGGAAGTAAAGCCACCTCTCTGATATGGCAGAAGGGGGCAGGGCATGCTCTGATGGCAGAGCAGAGGCTACTGTGGGTTTTGTGAAGGGGCCAGCTTGTTCTGACAGGAGAGGAAGGACCGCTTCCCACCATCCCTAAGGCACAAGGCCCTCCAACGTGGTCTTGCAGTTGTAAGGACAAAGGCAGTAGAACACAGGTTGAACAGGAAGGTGCCTCTCTAGGTGGAGACTGAGGCTACATAGATGGGGGAGATGGCACTTAGTAGGAGAACTAAGCAAAGAGGGAAAAAATTATTTAGCTCTTTAGGGAACAGAAATTAACCAACCTAGGGGAGTGGGGCAGGGCAAGGATTGACTTTAAAGGAACCAGAGAGAAAGTTGCTGAGGGGTGGGGATTAGGGGGTGGAAATGTTCCATATCTTGATTGTGGTGGCAGTCATATGTCCGTTTGTTGTATTTGAAAACCTCATGAAACCTTACGCTTTAAAAAAAGATGAATTTTGTTGTTGTTGAGACAGAGTTTTGCTCTGTTACCCAGGCTGAAGTGCAATGGCACGATCTTGGCTCACTGCAACCTCCAGCTTCTGGGTTCCTCCTGCCTCAGCCTCCGAAGTAGCTGGGATTACAGGCGTTTGTGACCACGTCTGGCTAATTTTTGTATTTTTAATAGAGATGGGGTTTTGCCATGTTGGCCAGGTTGGTCTTGAACTCCTGGCATCAAGTGATCTGCCCCGTCCACCTCGGCCTCCCAAAGTACTGGGATTACTTTTTTGCACGTGGCCAAAAAAGGATGATTTTTATTGTATGTGATTCATACCCCAATGAACCAGACTATAAAGATTTTCCCCCATCAGCCCTCACCATCTCAGGTGGGTGAGTTGGGGAGCTCCTGTCTGTCCCCCACCGTCTCTGGCATTTTGCAGCATTCCCCAACCCCCTGAGAGCTAGGTCAGGAAGCAGAGGGGCCTTCAATGCCCCCCAAGGAGTGCCCCTCAGCCAAGACCCCAGGGCAGGGCACTGTGCAGGCTCAGAGCTAGCCTTTCAATTTCATCTTCAGTTTTGTTTTCCATGATTACATTTGGAAAGGAAAATCTAGCAGATTTGACTATTGGAGAGAGCAGATGGTCCAATTTGAAGTAAAACACAGGCATTTGGGAGCTGTTTTTGACATTCTTGTGGAAGTGCAGGTTTGTTGAGCCCAGATTAGGGAGGACACAGGGAAACTTGAGGGCCCCAGGCTGTTTAAAAAGTCCATCACCCCGAGAGAGCAGGATGTGCCATCTTTTGCATTGCAATCGTATTTTTGACCTGGAGGATATAAGAACTTTTGATGCCAGATCTTTAAAAAAAATAATAATAATAATACCCCTTTTAAAGGTCACACAATCCTATTTTTTAAATATCATCTTTATTTAAACAATTAATGCATATTCACTAAATGTAAAGCTATATATTTAAATATATTAAAAATCCCTTTTCACTCTGCTCTGCCCCCACCCATTCCACAGCCCTCCCCAGAGGTGAGCAGGGTGTGCCCTTTCAGATAATTCAGGGCACTGATGTACACATAGGTGGACAAATAGAGACCAGGAGCTTGGCTTTCTTTATGTAATTGGAGCCACTCTGCAAGTATGGCCTGTAACTTGCTTTTTCCTCTTGCCAGCACACCTTGCAGAACTTTCCCATCGGTGCCTCTCTTCTCGTTCTGTCGGTGCCTCTCTTCTCGTTCTGTCGGTGCCTCTCTCCTCGTTCTGTCGGTGCCTCTCTCCTCGTTCTGTCGGTGCCTCTCTCCTTGTTCTGTCGGTGACTCTCTACTCATTCTTTTCAGTGGTGCACTTTACGCCATAGATTCCCCATCCACAATTCGGTTTCCTCGTTAACCCCCACCAGGGATGACCGTTCAGATTGAGCCTGCTTCCTTCCACCGCCTTCTCATGACAACCTGGCAGGGACCCTGTTCCAGCCCAGCACTGGCTCACCTCCAAATTCTTTCTGCCAGACTGCAGCATCCCCTGAGCCCCTGAGAGCTAGATCAGGAGGCACAGGGGCCTCCAGTGCCCCCTCAGGCAGTGCCCCTCAGCCAAGACCCCAGGCCAGGGCGCTGTGCAGGCTCAGAGCTAGCCTTTCAGCATGCTGGAAGGACAGGCGTCTGTTTGACTCTTTTCTAATGACCTGCTGGGTAAGAAAGTGGCAGAGGGAGCACTCGTCTTCTGGGATGGTTTTTCCAAGGCAATGGGGGTGAGGGGGAGCCAGAGGGGCTAGACCACGTGGGGAGGACACAGTGGCCCATGCCGGAGCAAGGAGGCCTGGCTTGAAGAGCTAAGCCAGTCTGTATTTGGGGTGGGGTGTCATATTTGGACTTAGAAGGAAAATCAGGGTTGGTATCTCCTGAGGGCCCTTTGAGCATTTGTTTTTAATGCATATTGGGAAGTGCTCTGTGGCCAGACACCGTGTTAGGTGCTATTCACCTAGATGGCTTTGCACGTGGTTAAGACTAAGAGTAAAGTCCCTGCAGGGCCCGTGTTAGCTGTGTCTTCCTTCATCCCTGCAGTGCCCTTGTTAGCTATGTCTTCCTGCATGTTACCAACCTCCAATAATAATACTAACGAACATGTCTGAAGCTCTTACCAGTTGTCAGGCAACGTGCAAAATGCTTTCTGTACATTATCCCACTCAGTCTTCTCAATTGTGAGGTGGGTACTGCAATCATGCCCATTTCAGAGAGAAGAGAAACTGAGGCTTAAGCCCAGGCCTTTCTCATTCCATCCTCAAGAAGCACCAGATGAGTGAGTAGTGTCCGTCCCTGTTTTGTGTTTCTGTTGGTGATCTGCTGGATCCTCTTCCTGACTTGGGGTGCAGCAAAGTTCTGTCCCTCCTCTGGGGTCTCCCTCAGTGAGGAACACACATCCATGGTCAATGCCGGGTGGCTCTGCCCCTTGGAAGCTCTGCCCATTGACTTTGCATAAAGGGAGCACTGAACCCAGGGAGTCTCACCTTGCACCAAGGACATCAGGTTTTCCTTCTGACCACCTTTAAGTGGGCCACTAAGTTGTTTTCCTTGAGTCTAGAGGCAAAATGGCAACACCTGCCAGGAAGGGTTTCTCAGAGGTAGCCACCTGGCCCTGGTCCACCTGCATCTGAAGCACCTGCAGGGCTTATTAAACATACAGGTTCCTGGGCCCCTTGACCTACTGGGTTAGAGTCTGACGGCAGGAAAGACCTGAGACTATGCATTTTAAATAAGCGCCTTCCCAAAGCCCTACCCCATTCGAGAACCTTTGTCTAAGGCAGAGAGGTTGCAAACTGTTGGCTCACGGTAAAAACAAGAAGACCTCTGCTAGTTTGAAAGATCTGGCAATGCCAAGCCTACTTTCCCTCATGGCACTGACTGGAGACCCTGGGACAGGGCTTAGGCTGTCTCTCCAGCTCCCCCATTCCCTGCCTGTTCTCTTCCTGTGGTTTCTGTGGACATTTTGAGTTTGTGACCACTGGTCAAAGGAGATGGCAGTGGTAATGTCTGTCAGCGCCAATGCCAGGTGACCAAGGCTTGACAAGCAAGGCCAATTCTGGTGCGCGACTCCTCCCTGTACGCAGGTGGCACTTTTGCCCTCCTTTGTAGAGCTCACGTAGGAGGCACAGGTTCACCCCTCCCCACCCTCCTACTGTCTGTCCTTTGCCAGCTGCTGCCACATGTATTTTCTGAATGATCTGGACATGAAATAGGCCCGTGCTCCAGGTCGAATACCCTCCCTGGCGTAAGATCAGTGTTTCTCAAAGCAGTTTACAGACCACCTGCACCAGATCCCCTAGGGGGAGCTTACAAAATGCAGATGCCTGTCTTCCACCCTAGACCTAGGGAATCAGAATCTCTGGGGTGGGGCCTGGGAATCTGCATTTTGAACACAGGCCCACAGGTGATTTTCATGAACCTGTGGGGACTGACAGTCCCCTGGTCTTCTGGAGAAAAGAGAGTGAATGTAGGTTCATTGAGGCCCTGGTCAAATAGGCCTCCTGGGACTTCAGCCTCCCTGAAAGAAGAAGGCCCTTTCCTCTGCCTGGCCAGAGCCTCTCCCACAGGTTCCCCACTGCGCCCCAGGGCAACAGGCACCCAGGGCTCAGCTCTTTATCAGATTTCATCTCCTGTCACTTTCAGAACCAGCTCATTATTCCTTTATTATTCCCACTCTCCTGCTTATCATTATTAATAATCACTCCAGACAGGCCAGGGTGCTGACAGGTCCCCCTTGTCCATTCTTTTTGTCTGTTTTAATCCTGCGTGCTTATCTGGCACTGACCTGATCTTTTCCCCATTTAATTAAGCAGTGCTGGTCAGTCCACTGCGGCCCATGTGGAGATGGGACTGATCAGCTCTCCCGATAGGCAGAGGAGTGATGGCCACCCTCCAGGAGGGGCACGAGGGAATGGGCAGGAATCCCCGGAGCAGCCACATTGGGTCCAGAGGCCTGGGGAGCCAGGAGTGGCTGATAACCAGTACCCATTGAAAAGCAATGCTTCTCAAACCTCAGTAAGTTCCAGAATCACCAGGACGGCCTACTAAAACCCAGATGACTGGGCCTCACCCTCAGTGCTTCTAATTCAGTAGGTTCGTCTGGGGAGCGGTCATGAATCTACATTCCTAATAAACACCCAGCTGGTGCTGCCACTGCCAGTGCAAGGACCACATTGTCACTGTGTTCGTGGGCTGACCTTGGCCTAGTGATGGACACTGGCCAGGCCAAAGGGGGTCTTGTTCTGATTGGATTAAAGAAGAGACCTCGGCAGAGGAAACTGATTACAGTCTTCAGGGACTGAGCCGGGGCTGCTCAGGACTACAAAGGGAAGGGAGGGATATGGATTCAACATGTGGTTTTGAGAGACAACCCAGTCTTAGTGATGCTAGGAGCAGTGAAAGAGAGAAAGTAAAGATGCCTCCATGGTTTTGAGCAGCTGGGAATATGGTGGTGCTTGACAGAGATAAGTACCAAGGGAATCCAAGGGGGTGACGCAGGGATACACTGAAGTTGGCACAAGCTACATAATCTGTCCGACCTAGTGAAAAATGAAAATGCAGGGCCCCTTGTTCAAAAATGATTAAGAATTTGAAATCATAGGCAGCAGAGCATGAAACCAAGCACAAGGCCCTTCTAAGTGTAGGCTGTCTGCCCTGGCTGAGATTCAGGCAAAAGCAAGAGAGCCACAGAACAGACCACCACCTTGGCAGCCTGTCCATCACTCTGCCGTCTCTTTTTTTTTTTTTTTTTTTTTTTTGAGACAGAATCTTGCATCTGTCACCCAGGCTAGAGTACAATGGCGCAATCTCAGCTCACTGCAACCTCCGCCTCCCAGGTTCAAGCAATTTTCCTGCCTCAGCCTCTTGAGTAGCTGGGATTACAGACGTGCATCACCACACCCGGCTAATTTTTTGTATTTTTAGTAGAGATGGGGTTTCACCATGTTGACCAAGCTGGTCTTGAACTTCTGACCTTGTGATCCACCCACCTCGGCCTCCCAAAGTGCTGAGATTACATTCATGAGACATTGTGCCCGGCCTCACTCTGCCATCTCTTGTGTGATTGGCACGTCCATTTCTGACGTCATAAGAGACAAAATGGAAAGTCATGGGGCTCAAGAGTCATCACTCAGAGTCTTATAGTGGAAGTGCTGCAAATAGGAAAACATAATGGGTAAAATCCTCAGAGGAGCTGCTGGCATGATCCAGGGAGGGGTGCCATCGTCATCATTCACACAAAGTCAACCACCTTCAGGAGAACAGAATCAGACTCTGTGAATAGAAGTTTATTTCTTTAAACTACCATTTACTGCACATTTACTCTGTTCCAGACACTGCACAAAGCCCTTTAATAGAGCACTTCATCCTTGCAAAAGCCCTGTGGAGTGTGTATTATTTTCCCCCTTGTGCAGATGAGGAAACTGAGGCAGAGAGAAGCACAGTAACTTGCCTAGAGAGTGAGAAAACCAACCCATTAGGCCCGAGCGTGTATCTGGAGCTGAATGCTGTCTGGGCCAGGCTGTCAGTACAAAGGACCAGAGAGCTCCAGGCTGACACGGATGGGGGCGCCGTGGGATGGAAGCTGTGTGTGTGTGTGCGTCTGGGTGCTGCAGGAAGATGCGCAGATACACAAGTGCCAGCCAAAGATGGAAGGATTTATAGCAATTAAAATGTTTTGCCTGGGAGCTGTTTGGAGCCTTTTTTTTTTTTTTTTTTTTTGAAGCGAGAGTTTTCTGACTCCAAGGTGTTAACAGACCCTCTAAATGGTTTTGTTTTTTAATTGCAGCAAATGACTGCACAGCCATTAGATTTTGCCTCTCTGCAGTTGTTTCTGAGTCCTTTCAGGCCTCCTCCTCCTATTTATTCTGTTTAATTCAGTCAGGTAGCTCCGGGGCAATGGAGATCAATACCTCTCTTTGATAGAAAAGAGTCAAGTTTGAAACCTAGAGATAAAACTGACACATTTTGTATAAATTTAATTAAAAATGCACCTTTAGTGGCTTGTTGCCAGCACAAAGCCAAGGGTCTGTCTCTCTATCTGCCTCTCCCTCCCCCTTTCTCTCTCCCTCTCTCTCTTCCTCGGCTTCTCCCGTCTCTCCTTCATTTCTTGTTCCTAATAGGGAGATCTCTATATCTGCCTCACTACAGTCTCGTTTCCTGAGTTTCGACCTGAAACTTCTGCGCTAAGGGACAATAAGGGAAGGGTGTGAAATCCTCAGCAGATCCGCTCTGGCCTCCTTGTTCCGGAGTAAGCCAGGGAGAGAGAGAAAAAGGGGGAAAAGATGAGGGGATCAGAAGGCCCAGGCATGGCTTTGCTTTTCTTTTTAAAATCCTTTTTCTTTGGACCCCGCTGCCTGGAGGAACAGGGGCTACCCCAGCCTGGGGCCCGCAGCACCATGGCTTCCTGGATGCTCTCCCACCTACCTGCCATCGCAGCTGCACGCGGCGCCTCCGGGAGCCCTCAGTGGGGTGCAGCGACAGAGCCCGGCAGGTGCAGCAGCCGCCAGCCCCTCTCTCCGGTAACCCCAGGGCTGCTGCACACATTTGTCTTGTGTTTTACAATCCGCCCCTTCACCTCCTTCCCTGCTGTTTCTCCCCATTTCACTCTTCTCTATCCCATTTGGCTTTCCTCATTTTTCACTTGAGTGGGTTTCCTATCCCCGACTCCGCTCCGGCCTCACTCTGCTCAACACCAATAAAACACACTCAACACAGGTAGAACAAGGTGCCCGAGCTCGGCGTGACAAATGGCTCGCCCGGCCCTTGCTAAGCGTGGCTGTAAATTGCCCCTCCCGTTGGCCTGGCGTGGCCGGGGGCTGTGCTCAGCAGCCCCTCCGTGGGGGTGAGGGGGCCAGCAGCGGGCTTTAGACCTAGCATTTGGCCTGCCCCCAAGGCCTCTCCCAAGGTCCTGGCATCCAGGAGGGAGCGAGGTGGCTGGGTGGGAGGCAAGGGGCACCTGTGGCTTTGGCTGGAGCAGCTGGGCCATCTTCATTGATCGGGCCATAACTCCAGCATCTAGGATTTCCTGCACACCACCATGTGCCAGGCGCTGTGCTGAGGCTCCACAGCAAATGTGATTTAATCCTCACAGCAGCCTGCGAGGTGTAGGCACCATGACTACTCCTGTTTCACAGATGACAACCCTGAGGAAGGCTTAACAAGGTCACATAACTTGTCAAGGTCATCTGACTAGTAAGTGGCAGGCTGAGTCTATGCAGACCTCCCGGACTCTAAAATCTGGGCTTTGCATCCCATACCCTGTGTGGGTGGCACCAGCCTGGGCACAATGGGAAGCAAGATGTCAGCTCCATGCTCCAGATGGGCATGATGTTGATTTCCTTCTCTACTTCATGAAGCTGCTCCTGCTGTGTCCCCACAGCCCATGGACAAGGGGGAACACACTTGAAGCTCCTTCCCCCCAGAATGAGTGATCAGAAGTGAGGATAGTCCATGCTCTTGCTTTTTTGCCTCTCTGGGAACAGCCAGGGTGCTCCCACCTTGGAGAAGCAGTGGGGCAGGGGGCTTGTCTGGCTCATTCTGTCACCAGGGGAGCCCCAGAGATTTGTGTTTTGGGGGACGGAGAGCCCAGGGCTTGCGAGTCTGTAACCTGGTCCCCAGGGGCATCTGGTAACATGGTAATGGGCACGTTCGAGCATCTCATCTTTTGCTCCGGGTGCCTTTAATCGCTGCCAATGAAAGTTGAGACTGAAGAGGAAAACAGCCTGAGCTGGGGCTGCTGGACTTCCTCTCTCTGCCTTCTTCCTCACTGGTAATTACAAACACCAGCCGCTTTGTGTCTAAAATGGCCAGGATAATTGAAACGGAATTTGGAATCAGGGCCCTGCAGGCAACACTTGTTGAAAGAAGAAATAAAGATCGGTTGGGTCACGTCTTTTGTAATTTGCGTTTAATAATCATACCAGGAGGTACGCACAAAGGGAGAGGCGGCGTGTGAGCCAGCTCCCAGCCTGCCCGCACCCTCCCTGGGTCTGCCAGGGAGGGAAGAAGGAACATGCGAGGGGTGGGCAGGGGTGGGTAGAGGAGGAAGCACACAAGTTGGAGAAAGTTCTCTCCACGTGGCAGGGGCAGGAGAGGGGGTGCGGGTTGGGGTGGGCCGAGTTGCTAGCTGAGATGAAGGTGGTGTGAGAAACCTTCGTGCTGGGCGCCCTCACCCACTGTGCTCTGCACACCTGCCACTCGTCTCCATGCACATACCCCACGGGAGCTGAGGGTGACCGTGGCGTGAGGCTACAGGAGCCCAGGAGATGGACGCCGTGATTTCAGACATGCTGCAGAGAGACTCTTTGGATCAAGAGCTTGGAACACTGCCACTACTCAGTAATGCCAGCCCCAGAGCTAGGGTGGAGGGGGCTGCCCCGCAGGGTGTAGCTGCAGCTTCCAGGCTGTGGGCATGCATGCTTTCATAGGTGCTCCATGGGAGCCCTGCAGCCCACTATTCCCCAGAATCACTGATACTCATGTTTGGGTCCTTAAGGAGTGTACCACTTTTACACAGACACACCCCCACTCTCCTGCCAACCCCCCGCACTAAGCACACCTAGAGCCGCACTCTCTCAACCACCAAAAACATTCCCCCCCTTCCCTTAGGATGCTGCCCCTTTCTGTCTGCAAGACTCCACGGAACTGAGATCTCAAGGGCTTCCCCGTGCCCACACATCATCACGGAGTGGGGGGCTGTCTTGGAAGTGGAGAGATGGTGTTACAGGCTGAATTGCGCCCCTACCCCCATAATTCATATTGTTGATGCTCTAACCCCCAGTACCCCAGAATGTGACTATATTTGGAGACAGGGCCTTTAAAGAGGTAATTAAGTTAAAATGAGGTCATGGAGATGGGCCCTCATCCAATCTGACTGATGTCCTTATAAGAAGAGGAAATTCGCATACCAAGGAGACACAAGGGCTGCGTGTACACAGAGGAAAGACCGT
The DNA here is from genome assembly GCF_000001405.40 of Homo sapiens. NCBI lineage: Eukaryota > Metazoa > Chordata > Mammalia > Primates > Hominidae > Homo > Homo sapiens. Next base: position 76,101,612 of record NC_000014.9, read on the forward strand.
GTGAGGACACAGCGAGAAGGCGGCCATCTGCAAGCCAAGAGAGGCCTCAGGAAAAACCAGCCCTGTCAACACCTTGATCTTGGACCTCTAGCCTTCAGAACTGTGAGAACATACATTTCTGCTGTTAAAGGACCCGTCTGTGGTGCTTTGTTAGGGCAGCCCTAGCAAACTAGTACAGAGAATGAGGTGCAGGGAGACACTGGGCTGGGATGCCTCTTGCCCTGCAGGCCCTTCCCTCTCTTGTCTGGACATGCATAATGTGTGCTTGAAATGCAGCAAAGAGAGGGGCCCTAGCTGCTTCCCTTCCTGGTGGGGCCAGAGCCTGAATGACCCAGGGAAGGGAACTTGCATGCTGGTCTTTACCCGTGGCTCTTTCTCCAAGGCCCAGGGCTGCCCACCACCAGGCCCTGGTCATGGGGTGCTAACAGCCCTGTGATGCCCAACTTCCGTCTCTTCCTTCCATTCTTAAGCCTCTTCCCCTTTCGCCATTGATGAGAAAAAGTGTCCTGCCTTGGTGACACAAGGGGGCTCTCAGTCCTTGCATAAGCCAGAATCCTGACAACCAGTGACCTGGAATCTGGGAACCATCCAGTCAGTAATATTTCTGAACAAAGAACTACAGAAAGGGGGCATGAATGAAGAGCTTTTCAAAGTCTGGATGTTTGGTGTGCACAGTGTGACTTCCTCCCTGCCTAAGGCCTTGGCACAGGGCACACATCCCTTTCAGGGCAAGGCCTATGGACACAGCATCCCAGGTGGTGGGTGGAGCACACTCCTCCTGGGCTTTTGTAGGTGGATGGCTTAGACCATCAGAGGAGCAGACTCTGGGGAGCAGAGGTACCCCCGGGCTGGGGACAGAGGAGGAGCACAGCAGCAAAGGGTGGAAAGGGGATAAACAGAGTCCTGGACTTTTAAGCTTGCAAGGGCTTTGTGGTGTTGGGGGGCGGGCGGGGAAATCACGAGCTGCTAACATTCCGGAGAACAGCCTCTGCTGCCAAGAGCTGATGGATACACTCTCGAATCTTTTCATTTTAGTTCCTCCATGCTGGGGCAGGAGGAAGGGGAAGTAGATGGTGATATCTCCACTGTACAAAGGAGAAAGTGGGGTTTAGAGAGGTTAAGTTCTTGCTCACAAATGCACAGCTTGAAAATGGCAGAGCTGTAACCCAGGGCTTCTAGACTCTCCATCCAGGCCTTTCCTTCTAGAACAGGGGCTGGCAAACTACAGCCCATGGGCCAAATCTGGCCCACTGCCCAACTTCATGTGGCCTGCGAGCTAAGAAAGGCTCACATTTTTCAATGATTGAGGAAAAAAAATCAAAAAATAATATTTCACGACAAGTGAAATTACATGGCATTCACATTTCTGTGTTCATAGTAGAGCTTTATTGGCATGGAGCCTCACCCATTGGTTTACCTTTGGTCCATGGGCCTCCGCCGCCACAACAGCAGAGTTCAGCAGTCATGACAGAGACTGTAGAATCCTCAATACCTAAATATGCCTTTTCTGGGCTTTCATAGAAAGCATTTACCCACCTCTGCTTTAGGGTCACATAACTTGAGAGACGGAAGAGATCTTAGGCACCATCCAGTCTGAAAATTTCAATTCCCTCCCATTCTATCCACCTATTTCCCCCAAAAAGCAGTTAGACCCATTGCATCTAAACAGCTCCATTCCAAGGCTGTCCTCGGAACCCCGCCCCCCACCCAGCCTCCTCCCTGTTCTGCACTGTTCTCTGGAAGCCGGGCTCACGGCAGCCTGCCCTGGGGCTGGGATGAAGGACTTTGTACCTCTACATCTTTGCTCCATTATTGTCTGTTCCTGAGGCTCTTATGGGGCTCCTGTGGCACCAAGCTACCCATGTCCTTGGGCCTGGAAGCCTGCAGCCTGCAGGAGGCACCCATACCAGGGCCCAGAGGTGACCACTACCTGGGTGACTGGAGCGGGACGTGGTGAAACTTGGGGGTGTGCCCTGGGGTCACACTGTTTGGGTGAAAGCAGGTTCAAGTCCTGGTACTGGGTAACTGCTGACTTGGGTGAGTCACTTCAACATTCTGTGCCTCAGTTTTCTCACTTGGAAAATGAAGAAAATAATAGCATCTACGCCTTGGGATTGTGTGAGCATGAAATGGGTCAAAGCACGTAACGTGCTTGGAGTGGCACCTGGTGCACAGCATGTGCTCTATGAGTGACGATGATCATGATGATGATGGTGATGATGATGACTATTATTAAAAGCCCTGTTCTAGCCAGCTTATTATTTCAGGCCTACCGCGCAGAAGCAGAGATTTCTACTGGACCTCCCCGCACAGAGATCCCACGGGCCCAAGGGCCTTCATGGTACCATCAGCTGCCAAAAAAAATTTTATAAGGCCGAGTCTTAGCCTGAGATTTTGTGCCAAATTTCCCCTGGAATCTGTGTCTGGGCTGAGGGTCAGGGGGATCAGAAGGTCAAGGCCATAGGCTAAGTGCTCTCTGTCTGGAGAAAGAGGTGCTATGAAACATAAGGGCAAGATGGCAGTGAAAATGAGTGAACTGTCAACACGCTTGAATCCCATAAATACCACAGGGAGCTAAGAAAGCAAGTTGCAAAAGAAGATAAACCACGTGGTGGCCATTTACACAGAAACGTGAAACATGCCAGGCAATTCCGTGTATTGTTTAGGATACATTCCTTTATGGTAAAAGTCTAAAGAAATATACAGGAATGGGCCAGGCGTGGTGGCTCTCGCCTGTAATCCGAGCATTTTGGGAGGCTAAGGCGGGCGGATCACTTGAGGTTAGGAGTTTGAGACCAGCCTGGCCAACATGGTGAAACCCCGTCTCCACTAAAATACAAAAATTAGCCAGGCATGGAGGCAGGCGCCTGTAATCTCAGCTACTCAGAAGGCTGAGGCAGGAGAATTGCTTGAACCCAGGAGGTGGAGGTTGCAGTGAGCCAAGATCATGTCACTGCACTCCAGCCTGGGCTACAGAGCAAGACTCTGTCTAAAAAAAAAAAAAAAAACTATACAGGGATGATGAACACTGAATTCATGAATTTGGGGTAGTGCTTCCCCCAGGTGGAGGGGAGGGGACTGACCTGGAGAGGGGCACACAAGGTCCTTCACCTGAATTTGGGGGAAAAGTGTATCCTGGAGGGTGGATGTGTGAGTCCTTCATATTATTCTAGAAACCTTTGTATAGGTCTTAAGTATTTTATAATATAAATATTTTTGATGTGGGCAAGGCTAATTTTGCAAACCTAATAGACTTTGGAGGCAGGGGTCTCAAAATTGTGCCAAGAAGCCCCAAAGATGGCCCAGTAGAGATGAACGCGTCCTGGTGGACAGTGTGCCCTGTGGCGTGCAGGCACTGCCTGATGCTCCAGCCCCTCATGCACGCCCGCCCTGCCCCACACCCGCTCACCTGCTCCTCTCCTGCCTTCCTCCCCAGCGCCTAGCAGTCCTTCCCCATCTGCTTGCTGTGTTGTTCCTTGCTCGGTAATATGTCCTCTCTGGGCTGTGGCATGGGCAGAGGCTCTGGTTCCCCCTCCCTGGTGAGGCAGAGAGGCTTAGGAACATGTGTTTCTGGGAGGCAGACACCAGCTGGTTGGGGAGACATTTGCATATTCCACTGAGCCCCCCAGAGCCAAGCCAGGGTTGGGAGGAGGAGGCTGCAGCAGGACAGAGGGAGAGGGAAGGCTCTGGTCAGCTAGGGGTCAGATGGAACAGATTTCAGATTGGAGAGACAGATGGTTAAAGCAGAGAAGAGGGAGGGGAGCGAATCGTGACTCCTATGTGAAGGAAGTCATTCGAGAGCCCTAAAATATCTTGTGTCTTTGCAGGGATCTTCGGTTATCAAAGCATTTTCCTATCTTTCACTTGATTCCTCACTGTAGTCCTGTGAAGTAGGTATGATCGTCAGCCCCATTTTACAGATGAGGAAGCTGAGACTCAGACGGCAGAGCTAGTGCATGGGGAAGTCTCTGGACTCCTGGTCCGGGAGTGTTCCTTTCACTCCACCTCAGAGCCAGCTGCAAGTGCTCTCTCCAAGTGCTTTTCTCACATTCTTCTGTCAGCCCATTCCAGTGGTGTTTCTGACCCCGCCATTCCATTGAAACTGCTCCCCTCTATGTCACTAGTGACCCGCTTGATGCCAAGTCCAATGGTCACTTCTCTGTTTCCACCTTATTTTGCCTCTCTGCAGCATTTGTTGTTGTTGTTGTTGTTTGAGACAGGGTCTCGTTCTGTCACGCAGGCTGGAGTGCAGGGGTGCAATCTTGGCTCACTGCAGCCTTGAACTCCTGGGCTCAAGTGATCTTCCCACCTCAGCCTCCCAGATAGCTGAGACCACAGGCGCATGCCACCACACCCAGCTAATTCTCTGTAGCATTTGACACAGGTGACCACGGACCTCCCCTTCTTCCTGAAATGACCTTCTCCTTGGTTTCCATGACAACCCCTGCTGTGGTTTCCCTCCACCTCCTTGGTTGCTCCTTCGCAGGCTCTGCTCCCTGTCTGAATGCTGGGATGCCCAGGGTTCAGACCGCAGCTCTCTCTTCTCCCTCCCCTCTCTGTGCATCAACCTGAACGTCTCCTCGTCCAGTCCTGGCACTTCCAATACCATCTATGCTGAAGGCTCCCAAATCTATTTCTGCAGGGCTGCTCTTACCTTGGGCTGCCCTACATGGTGGTCAAGAGCATAGCCTCTGAATCTCAGCTCTGCCATTTATCAGTTGTGTGACCTTGGACAACCTTTTTCTGTCTCATTCTTGCCATCTATGAAATGGGGATGATAAAGCCCCTACTCTGTAGGGTTGTTATGAAAATTAAATGAGATCGAAAGGGCTTAGGACATTGCCTGGCACATCATAAGCAATCAAGAAATGCAAGACACTGTTACTTGACATCTGTTTCTCCAACATGCCAAGCATCTTCCCACCCCAGGGCCTTTGCACTAGCCCATTCCTTTATCTGGAATGTTATTCCCTTGACTTTCCTAAGCCCACTTTTTTTCCTTCAGATTCCCTGACCACCCAGGCTACCACAGTCATCCAGTCACTCACTGTCACCTCATTCCATTAAAAACTTGTGTATGACACCTATTGTTACTGGATATTTTCCTTTTTATTTATTAGTTGACTCCCCCAGTAGAATACCATCCTCATAAGAGCAGGGATTTTTGTCTATTCTGTTCACTTTATCTCCCTGTCCCTGGAAGTGCATATCGTAGTTGCTAGATACAAATTTGTTGCATGAGTGAACGGTAGCTTAAGCTTCCAGCCTGGGAATGGCCTGACATATGCCTCATTCCCTGGCCTCCTGGTCATTGTCAGCTGGGGAGGAAGATGTTTCCAACTGAGAAATCATCAGAAGACATTTTGTCGTGTTTTCAAGCCCCAGAAATGTTAGAGGTCTCATAAATTGCCCCCCTCCCTTCCCAAAATATGATCACAGCAACCACCCTCTCCCCAGACTTGACCAGCCGGAGAGAATCCTCCCTGTCACTGTCACTCCATGGGGGTTGGGGGGCTGATTCCAGCATGCCAGGCACTGTGAAAGGCCCCAAAGAGACCTAGAAGTCCTGTAAGATTTAGTCTCCACTCTAGAAGACCCTGCAAATCAGAACCAGAGTTAGGGCAAGGGAAAGATCAAGGCCAAGCTTGTAGAGGACATTCAGGGCTGTGGAAATCCCAGCAGAGTGGCAAGAGTTGCAGAGGAAAGAGTCTGGTCACCCCCAGGTCAGAATGTCTTCCTCAGGCTATGGCGCCCTAGGATGGGGGAGGGGGAACTGCCCATCAAAGACCTCCTCCGGGTCCCACTGCACTTCACCTGAGATCTCTTCTCTGGCCTGCCTCTCTGACCTCCAGGGCCAAGAATGATGACTGGGCAATGGTAATCTGGGAGGCTGGCACCTGGGCCTGTGCAGACTGGCCCTTCAATGTACAGAACCATCCTCCTTACCTACGGGCCAGAGCCATGCTCAACCTTTTGTCTTTAATCAGGGCCCTGCTCCCTTTGTAGACAAAGTATTTCCCAGACCTTCCCAGAAAGTATGGATTGCAAACACTTGATCCCACTGACTGTGTGTTAGGGCACCCAGGCTGGCCAGATGCAGGCCTGGCTTTTGATCTGGAAGCTCTGCTCCTGAGCATGGAAGGGATCTGGTGTTCCTGCCCACCATGGGAGGGAAATGGCTTCAGAGAATGGTAATGAAGAGAGTGACCTGGGAAGGGGATACCAGAGCTGGGAGCCACAGAGATCCAGAGCAGGTGACTGTGAAAGAAGGTAGGCTGGGTGTGGGAGCAGACCACCCCACAAGCCCATGCACCAAGATGCACAGAGGTCCTGTCAGGACCTGAGGTATCTCCTCCTGTGGAGTTCAGGTGAGAGCCACCACCCTTTCCCAAGGGGGCTGAGCTGTTCCCTTCCTATAAGCCACTTCAGACCAAGCATCTGAGCTTGCCTGGGTGCAGGTGGCAGGGTTCCTGTGGTCCCAGGGCAGCCTGGCCATCCCGGGACTCTACTTAACACTTCCAACTTCTTCCTGAGCCAGCTGCAGGGGCAGGGAGACAGGTTTGAGGGCAGGAGACCCCAATTTCCACCTACTAGTTCCTAAGCAGACTCTGTGAGACCTGTGTTGGATCAGGGCTCACCTCCCTCCTGGGGTGGTCTCATTTGGCATTCTGTTTCTCCCAATCCCAATCCCATTGATCACCCACTGTGCCTGCCAAGCCCTTTCCTGCCACAGGGACTTTGCACTTCCTTCAGCCTGGATGCACTGCCCCTGATCTTCACAGGCACCTTTAGTTGGAGCACAGATCTTGCCACCTCAGAGAGAGATTCTCTGACCTCTTAATTTAAATGAGCCACCTCCCAGCTCCAACTCCTTACCCTTTATTTTGTCATCATGGTTATCTCCTCATGGCACCTACCACAACTGTAATTACCCCTTTGTTTACTTGGCTATTGTCTACTCGTTACTAAAGCCCTGTGAGCACAAGAACTGAAGTCCTGTCTGTCCTGCCCTCTCTTGTGCTCCCAGCCCCTAGAATTGTGTCTGGCACATACTAGGTAGGTGCTCAATAAGTATCTGTCGGAGGAATGAACTGAAAAGGCTTAGAAAATAGAGTTATTGTTGTTCTACTTTATAGGTAAGGACGTCAGTGAGAATAACAAATTTACAATGACTTCATAAGTAGGAAATAGCTATGCCAGGGACGCTACCCCAGGTCTCTGGACTAGAAATCTGTACCCCCACAGTCATAGTCCATTTGTGTTGCTATAAAGGAATACCTGAGGCTGGGTAATTTATTAAAAAAAGAGGTTTCCCTTGACTGAAGCAGTGATAAAAGAGAAAGAAAAAAAAGAGGTTTATTTGGCTCACAGTTCTGCAGGCTGTACAGGCAGCATGGTGCCAGGATCTACTTCTGGTGAGGGCCACAGGCTGCTTCCACTCACGGCGGAAGGGGAAGGGGAGCCAGTGTGTGCAGAGATCGAGGAAGCAAGAGAGAAAGGGGAGAGATGCCAGGTTCTTTTTTTTTTTTTTTTTAACAACCAGCTCTCCTTGGGAGAGCTCTGGCAAGAAATATTAGGGCAAGAACTCACCCATTACAGAGAACTGGCACCAATCCATTCATGAGGGACGCACCCCGATCAACCAAACACCTCCCATTGGCGCCAGCTGCAACACTGCGGGTCAGATTTCAACATGAGCTTTGGAGAGGACAAATAGCACACACCCTGTCCAGTGTCTGTGCAGTTTCATGACCTGAGGCCAGACACCCTGTGAGTACCTTGATGTGGAGTCAGCAGGCCCAGCCTCACTTCTCTTCAGACTCCACTCTTGACAATCAGGTGGGAGTGGGGATACCCAGTAAAGGCAGAAAAGGGGAAATTCCATTTGAGGTTGAAGGGCACGAGTGGCTAGGGATAGCCTAGCCTTCTCTGTGGATTTGGAAACCCCAGAGTCTCCGCATTGCATTTTTCTAGGAGGAAATAAAAAGCATGTGTTGGGGGGTGCAAACCTCTTTTAAGATGAAAACTACAGAAGTGACCACATTCCACTGCGTGTGTTCATAAGAGACTCCTCACTGTGCAGGCGGGGTGGTGAGTGCCCCAGTTCATGCCTATGGCAGTCCCGCTCCAGGCCAGGGGCAACCTGCCTAGCTCAGCCCTGCACGAAGAGGGCCTCAGCAGTTTCCTGGAGCCCTAGGAACACTCGAGAATGTGCGCTGTGTACCAGATTGTCCTGTTTTCACCAGCCCCTTCTAGCCTACGTTATACAACCACAAGGTAAAAGTAGAGTCAACTTAGACTAACTTTTCATCCCTTTAACTTCTCAAAGATTGGAAAAGTCCCTGTCCCCAGCCCCAACCTCCTTCCAGTGCTCTTCCCTAACACCCCATGGCAACCCCACTTAAGCCCAGACACATCACTCATTTGCTTCACCTGTGTTCCCCACTGCCCTTGAAATTTAATGTTGGCATGTGTTCTGCCTGCAGCCTCGGGGAGGTGGGCTAAGTCCTGATGGAGAGATCACTAGTGGCTGGGGACCAATGGACACTCCCTTTTCCTGGTAGGTGGAGGAGAAAGAAAGGCAAGTATCTCTTGGGCTGCCTCCAGCATCATAGGATTTAGGGCACAGGGTTGTACCTGCACAGACCAAACGCAAGAATTCCAAGGGTACAGGGACCCAGCTCACTGGGGGAAGCCCAGCCCAAGCTCACAAACACAAAGTTCAAGGCAACCAGCTGTCCTGGCCCTGCCTTGGCCTGAACCTAACTGGAAAAGCCCTGGATTCAGAGCCCGAACGCCTGGGTACTAAGTTAGTCCTTCCTTTTAACTAACTGTGTGGCCTTGGGCTAGTATCCACTTAGCTGCCCTGAAAGCTAAGTGAATATAATCTAAGTAATACACATTTGTAAACAATTTTGCTGCAGTGAGAATCAGTAACGAGCTAATGCATGCGAATGAGCTCAGAAGACTATCCAGTGCTGTGAAGTGGGGAGTGGGCCGGGCCTCCACTGTGTTTCTGCCTACCGCAGCCAGTGGGTCTGCTTTCACCAGGCATGGTATGGCCTGTGGCCTTAGTGTGTGCAGCAGGCATTCCAGCCATTCACCCATATCCCATCCCTCTCTCTTTCCTGGCATATGGGAAGATAGTCTTTCTCCAGCCCCTCGAAGTTAGGCAGGTCCTGTGATTAGTTCCAGCCGGTGGGTTGTGGGTAGAAGTGCTCAGGTGGCTCCCATGCTGGTGTCTTTATTTGCTGATGTGAGGCCCTCCAGCTCTGCTCCTCGACAGCTGGCCATCACAGACTTGTGGTCAAGATGGAGTGCTATCAGCTGGGGTCTCTGGGTAACCACAGTGGACAGACCCTCCTTGGATTGGCCTTGGGGCCTGAACATAAATGAATGGTGACTGTTTTAAGCCACTGAGATTTGGAGGCTGTTTGTTATGACAGTGCCACTTAGCCTAACCTAACTGATCCAGTGCTCCATCAGCAAAGTTCTTCAGCTTTGGGGTTCAGGGACCAACTGCCTCAGATACTCCTGGAGGAGCCTTGTTAAAATGCAGATTCCAGCCGTGCGCAGTGGCTGACGCCTGTAATCCCAGCACTTTGGGAGGCCAGGGCGGGCCGATCATTTGAGATCAGGAGTTCGAGACCAGCCTGGCCAACGTGGTAAAACCCTGTTTCTACTAAAAACAAAAATTAACCGGGTGTGGTGGTGGGTGCTTGTAATCCCAGCTACCCGGGATGCTAAGGCAGGAGATTCGCTTGTAGTGAGCCGAGATTGCACCGCTGCACTCCAGCCTGGGCAACAGAGCCAGACTCAGTCTCAAAAAATGCAGATTCCCAGTCCCAACCTAGCTGCTGCTGAGTCAGAATGGCCAGGGGGTGAAGCCCTGGGATCTGCAATTCTAAAAATAGTAACTATTAATGATGGCAGTGGCTGCTGCCATCACACCCAGCTGCGTGGCTGGGGCTGTGCACTCCATGGAGCTGGTGGGAACCCCACTCCTTCTGAGTTGGGACAGTAGGTCCCCGTGGTGCTGCAGCCGCCCAAACTGCTACTGCAGACCCAGGCCTCCTGCTCTATGGAGCAGGCAGGAGCCCCGCCCTACTGGGTGGGGCTATAGCTGCCCAAACTGCAGCTGTGGATCTGAGCCTCCCTCCGTGTGCTCTTGGGGGAGCTGGGAACAGGCAGGATCTGCCTTCCTGGGTGCAGTGGTGGTGGCTGCAGACCTGGGCCTCCTGCTCTAGGAAGCAGGCAGGGGCCAGGGACAAGTGGGAGCCCTGCCCCTTCCAAGTTGGTGGGGCAGGAGCTCCAGGGCCCAGCTGTGGCCACCCTGCCAGGTGCAGGACCCAGGTGTACCCTGGGGGCTCCAGGAAGGACCCTCCCAATCCCTGCAGGCTCAGGGATGTCTTTTCCTGCGGCTTGGCCTCTCTCCACTCCTGGCCCCTGCTCCATTCTTGGAGCAGGGGTTTGGGCCAAGCCTGGGGGGCCATGAATGGCAGCGGGAGGCAGATTGATTCCTGGGTGGAAGGGGATGGGTCCCCAATAAGGCCCCACCTTCAGGCCAGGGAGGGCCTGAAGCCTGGGAGCCGGGCTGCCGACTTCCCGAGGACTGCAGTGGGGGCTCGTGGTGCCTCTTCTGGCCCACTCGTGGCCATCAGTGGACCAACTGGCACATACTTCCTCCCCTCTGAGGTCCATAAAAGCCCTGGGCTCAGCCAGAGCAGGGCAGGCGTTGGCCAGAGGATGAAGAGGGCAGAGAGATGACGGGATGGGTTGGCCAGCTGCAGAGAGGGATACCCTCCCCAATGAGAGCTGCAGGGACAACCCACCAGCAGAGAGGAGCTACCCTCTCTGCTGAGAGCTTCAGAGACCTTCAGAGACATCCAAATGACTTGCCTTCAGAGAGGAGCCACCCTCTCCAGAGCCTTCTCTCTGCTAAGAGCTGAACACTTGACTGGACAACCTGCCTACAGAAAGGAGCTACCCACTCCTCTGAGCTGTTCTAACACTACATAAAACTCTTCTTCACCCTTCGTTTGTCTGCGCATCATCTCATTCTTCCTGGACACAGGACAAGAACTCGGGCAAAGGCGCCACAGCCCCAGAGGTTTCCTGTCAGAAAAATCGACACCCCAGAGATCCCATAACATTAATATATCTTCGGAGGTAGCAGACATATATAGACCCCAGGCCTTGGGAGGGTGGGGGCCTTGGCTCCCTCCTCTTCCTCATCTGCTTCCTCTGCTCTGTGGTCTAGCATGGGCTCTTCAGGGGCTCACCTCCTGAGAGGCCCCTGCCCCAGGTGACGATCACAGTGCTCTACCCCTCGCTCCTGCCTCCTCATCTCTGCCACCTTGTGATGCAGCACGTCCCCCGGGCCTGGAGCTGGGGGAAGGGCTCACAGAGTGGTCTTGTAGCAAGAGCGATAGAAACCCTGCATGATGGATTGAAGGAGACGAGACCATTCCTGGCTGATGGCTGACGTGCATCGGCAGTGACAGGCGACGATGTTTGTGCTCTGAACCTGCAATCTTAGCTAATGGGAAAGATTGAGGGGTTCGAAATGAGACATGTCGTGTGCTGCAGCCCCACGGGCAGAGATGCTGCTGGCAGGGAAGAGCACAGCTTTCTTGCTTCCCGAGGGAGGGGCTGCGGGACACATTCCCGCCCAGGTCCCCAGGCAGGTACGCAGATGCCTCAGGCTCGTTGGGAGCTGACTTTTTCCAGCAGGTTCTTGGCTGCTCCCTGGCTGTCTGGGATCATGTCGGAGGCCCAGACTGGGGAGCTGCAGGAGAGGGCAGCAAGAGAGTCTTTCTCCTGGGGGCATCCTGAGTGGCTGCCTTCCCAGCGCCTCCCATAAGGGGCTGCAGTACCCAAATGAGCTGGGGTCCTTCCGCCCTTATTCTTGTTCTATCCCCAAGGGAGCTTCAGGGGACTTCCAGGGAGTAGCCTGAGGGAGGAGACAGCAAACAATGGAAGCAAAAGCTTAGAATCCGAGACTCAGCTCATATAACACTGCCAGCGCTTCTTTTGGTTTGGAAGCCATACTGCCCTGGGTTTGAATGCCAGTTCTCCCAACACAGCCATTTCCTGCCTGTGTGATCTCTGACAACCATTTCTACCTCTCTGGGTCTGTTTTGTCAGTTGTAAAATCTGAAGGAAAGAAAACCACTTCCTGGGAATGTTGAACTAAGGACTGATAGAAACAAGCAGGAAAGCCGTGCTTCTCAAACCTCACCATGCATGCGAATCAACAGGAATCTTGTTTAAAATGCAGATTCTGACTCAACAGGTCTTGGGTGGAGCCTGAGGTCCTGCATTTCTAATGAGCTCCCAGGTGATGTCGACGCTGCTGGTCCGCTGGTCCGTGAATCTCAATTCTAGCAACAAAGAATGTACAAGATCATAGCAGATACCTGGTTCGTAGGGGGTACTCAACAGGCAGTGCCTTTGTTATTATTATCAAGGTCGTCAATGCAATGTAGGTGAGACTGTCTCTTTCTTGACCACAGCCCATATCCTCCTTCAAAACTGTGTCGTTCAAGGTTTCCCTTGAAGCCACTGGAACACAAATGTTGGAGGGGCCCAAAGTGAGGGCCATCACAGATGGCCCAGTGGCCAAATCGTCTATTGGACATCTCTAGAAGCAGACATTGCTCCCGCTGACCCAGGGTCCAATGGGCCCAGTTGTTTGGGCTCTCATCTGGGAAGCTGGGATGGCAGTGGTGTTGCCCAGCCACTTCACCACTCCATACATCACAGCTGCCTGAAGGTACAACAGAGGTCACTAGAGTCCCTATCCCTCATCCCAAATGGAGCCACTTGCTCTTCTGTTTTCTCATGGGAGGGAACCCTAGGGGATCAGGAGCAAGCTCCTCCAGCAGCAGCAGAAGCAGCATGGCTCATGGTTACCATCTTGAGACCTTGGGCAACTCGTGAACTATTTCAGGGCCTCAGTTTCCTCATCTGTAAAGTGGGGCAATACTCTATCACCCTAATGTGAGCATGAAATGAGATAATGGACATAAAATCCTTCTCACACTGTGTGCGCCAACTGTGCATCATTCGATGATTATTAGAGTGTCTCCACCACGTGTCTCCTGCCTCCTCATCACCTAGCCACAAAGGCTGGTGCTGGAGCCACCTGAGCTGTGATGAAATTGTGTGTTTGAGCTGGTCCTGTGCTGACTTGGAGCTGAGAGCTTCATGTGGTTTGGGGTCAAGTTAAGTGTAGCAGAAGTACAAAGCCAGAGGAACCAGAGCTGTGGCTCATGAGAAGGGTGAGCCCCTCCTGAGAAATTGTGGGGAAGGACGAAGGAGGGAAGAAGAGGAAGAGGACAAGGGGAATGGCGAATGCAGTTCCATCTTCCGTCACAGGCTGACCTGTCCATGGGTATGGGATGTCTGGGGAGGGCCCAGCCTGCTGGGTAAGGCTGCAGGGTGTGTGGTGGCTGCAGCAGAGATGCAGAGAGATGTCGGAGCTTTGTCATTCAGATTGCCCACACCAGCAACTCCAAAACCCTCTCTGGGGACACTTCCTGGAGGCTTAACTGTTCCAAACCCCTTCATTCCATTTGCTCTTGTGCAGGGGCAATGGGTGAACTCAGCCCCTTCAGGAAAGAGCCTGCTTATGAATCAGCAAATGCCTTAGTGGAAGAGCAGATCTAAATGTCAGGCTCACCCCTCTGTGCTTCCTTTTTCTCTGGGGCCTTGGCCCTTCCAGTCCTTGCTCCTATAGTAGCTCTCTGCTGCCTTCAAGTGGGTGTTGCTTTTTGTTTTCGGGTTTTCTTTTCTTTTTTTTTTTTTTTAACTTTGACAAAATACACAACACAAAATTTATCATCTTACCCATTTTTAAGTGTACAATTCAGTTATATTAAGTGTATTCACATTGTTGTGCAACCAGTCTCCAGGACTTTTTCATCTTGCAAAGCAGAAACTCTGTAAATTTGACTACTATACATATCTCATATACTCTAATAATACAGTATTGTATTTATCTTTTTGTGACTGGCTTGTTTCACTTAGCCCAATATCCTTAAGGTTTATCCATGTTGCATATTTTCTGGTTTTAGATCCAGCTTTACTAGTTTCTCCTGGAGGCTTGGTTGGCCAGATACAAGCTAGTGATCACAGCTGGAAGCAGAAGTCCAGCCCCGATGGGCCAGGTAGGTGTGGGACTAGCTCCCCTGACATTGCGCCCATCACGTGCTAGGAGGTCAGTGTGAGAGCATCCCTCTCACTCAACAGCTTCAGTTTTAAGCAATAATTTCCGAGAATACCAGGCTAATGAACTCAACAGGTTGCAGGTTATAGGTGGGGCTCATGAGGTCAAGTTCATGCATTTGCTACCTCCAAGGACAGTGTTATGTACTGATGGGGAACTTGGGCTCTAGGGTCAGATGGCCTGGGTGTAAATCCTGGTGCTATTAATTACTCTCTATGTGGCCTTAGGCAAAGTGCCTAACTTGCCTGAGTTCCTTTATAAAATGGAAATTGTAATAGGGCTGATGTGGGCATTAGATGACATGACCTCTTTAAAGAACATAGCCCAGGTTTGGCACAGAGGAAGTGCTTACTGACAGCTTGAAATCAGAGATTTTATTAGCATTTCGTGGGTCAAAAACCTCCTCTTCCTGGCTTCTGATGTTGCCCAGCATGGACTGAGATGAGCAAGATGTGCCTTGGGGTTGTTATCCAGCTAGTCTGGTGTTTTTCAATTTTTACATATTTTTAAGCAGCAGCACCCTTTGAGAAATTCTTTTGCATAGCTCCAGTGTTGTGTTGGAAAAGGAGAGTTGCACAACTGGGGAGCAAGGAGCCCAGTCCTGTCCCCATCGCATATGCATGCATGCACACACACACACACATGCGTGTGCACACGCACACACGCACGCACACGCACAGACACACTCTGCCTCCTCAGACAGGAATTCTGGAAAGCTCTGGGTTCCATGGAGGGAGCTGGAAACCATTGCCTTGTGGGAGGCCCCTCCTCATGGAGAGTCCTGAAGAATCTCTGGCTCCCTGTGAACAAGGAAACTCCACGTTTGGACACACTCACTGGGCTCCGGGAAGGCAGGGCAGGGCCTCTGCCTGAAGAGGCCTCAGCAGCATCATGGGCAGGCTGGGCAGCCAGAGGCCTGAATCGAAGCCAAAAGGAAAGCAGGCCATGGGACCCCCATGTCCCTTCATCTTGAGTCCTCACAAAACACCTTTTCTCACTTCCAGAGAGGAAACATACCTTCAAAAGCAGGTCTCTGACGGTGAGTCTCAGGTCACCTGCCTGAGCTGAGGACAGTGTGTTTGTTTCTAGCATCGCGACGGAGCCAGCCAGATAAAGGGGTTTGTCAGATGTGGGTGGATGAACGTGTGTGTGCCTGGGCAGGTATCTGTGGGCACTGTGTGTCTGTCTGTGCATGTGCGTGTGTGCACCCGTGCATGTGTACGTCCATGCATTGTGTGCATGTCTACATGTGTATGTGTTTGTGTGTGTATGTGTATGTATCTGTGCGTGAGTATGGGTGTTTGTGTGTGAATCTCAGACTTCTCAGAAAGGCCCTCTCACGTCATCAGGTTCCCCTGCAAGACTTTTTGTGAATTCACTAATTCACCCACTCATCCATTTGTACCCTCCTTCCATGGACTAAATAAGGAATCACAAAATGATGAATTGTAATTTTGTTAAATGCCATGGTGTCTTGAGACCATATAATGGGGGCACCTAATTGCCCATTACTTTATGTCACAAACACACAAGGTCTCTAGGGACCGTGTCTCCCAGATCGCCAATACCATCGAGTGCATCATCACCTTGTTCCTGGCACTTCCCCGTGCACCTCTGCCTGCGCTCTCTGAGTTCTAGGACCTTGCCCTCACACACACCTGCCTGCATTTATGCATATAACCTATGGCACTGGGCCACCCTCGAGGGCATGGCAGCACGAGGGGCCTTGTTCATCTTCCTGCTATTTTGCCACATCAGGCATACATGAGTCCCATCAGAGCATTCCTGTGTCAACTCCAGACGTGTGTGTGTGTCTGGATAGGTGTGTATGTGCCTCTTGGATATGGGTAGTTATGTTCTTGGTCTGAGGACTGGGGGGATACTGAGGTCCTTCTGGAGAGTGGTGTGAGCAACTCCAGGTGTGTGGGTATGTCTCTGAGCATGCCCTGGGCCTTGAATCATTCCCAGCCCATCACCAGAACCCTCCACTGTGTTGTCCTGCCAGTAATTACAGCAGATAAACTGCTCCAGTTGAGGGCTGCTGTCCCCGGCTGGCTGCCAGCCATGCGGCCCCAGGCTGCGCCGTGGGAGTCCATTCATTTTAATAAGAGGTACACCCTGTGTTATTAAGAAGAGTGTTTATTACTGTCGCCACACACTGACAGCAACTTCCATCATCGTTAAACGGCAGATGCGGGGAGGGTAGGGGGGCTGTGCACTGCAGCTTTGCAGAGGCACAGGCCCAGCTGGTGAGGCTGAGGAGGGAGGGGTTGTCTGTCTCCCTCTCTTACCGCAGAACTGCATGGCACCCCCTTTCCCAGACAGAATTGAGCTTCTGCTGAGCCTGACCCTGTTCGAGGTGGGGGTTGGGGCCAGCAAAGGGATGCAGGAGGGGACTCTGCTCGACATCTGAGTGCTGTCCCGGAGAGGGCGAGGGAGTCCGGGGTTGGAGCTTGCTTCCCTGGGCCTGCTGGCCCTACTTCTCCTGATGTCACCGGAGGCAGGCCAGACTTTTATTCTGCCTGGAATGTTCTGTCCTCCCTAGGGATCTTGCAGTTGCAGCTCAATCTAAAGTAGCACCACACCTGCCCCAACCAGCCTTGGGTTGGTCGAGGTTGCAGTGAGCTGAACTGAGATCACACCATTGCACTCCAGCCTGGGTGACAGAGTGAGACCCTGTCTCAAAAAAAAAAAAAAAAAAAAAAAGTCAAGCCCAAACCTGGGTGGTGGGGGTCCCTTCCCCTATCTAGGGCACACGTGGATGCCAACCAGCCAAGGCTGATTGGTTCTTTCCATCCCACTGAGGGAAGCTCCATGAAGAAGGGTGCCAATTCAGTCTCACTCACTGCTCTGTCTCAAGCACAGAGAACAGAGTCTGCTGCATAAAGGCATCCCACAGACCTGTGTTCAACCACTGGCTAAGTGAAGCCCCTTGGACCTTGCCCTTCCTGTTGTCTTTCAGGATATCTGGGTGTGGACGGGGTTAATGTACATTAAGGACAAGTGTTGTAGAGTAGAATAAACAACAGAGGATCTCAAACTTTCCCAGTTCTTTGCATCACGGTAATTTTTTCATGGTGCCCTAAGTCTAAAGAAACTCCTGGCTGGGGGCGGTGGCTCACACCTGTAATCCCAGCATTTTGAGAGGCCAAGGTGGGAGGATTGCTTGGGCCAGGGAGGTCGAGGCTGCAGTGAGCTATGATTATGTGGCTGCAACTCCAGCCTGGGCGACAGAGCAAGACCCTGTCTGAAAAAGAAAAATAAAAGAAATGCCCGAACATTATTATTATTATTATTATTTTAAGTAACTAGGTCCAAACAACTCAAGTATTCATAACAACTAATTAGCCCTTTGAAAAAACAGTATCCACATGTGCCTGAGGGAGGGAAAGGGACCCCACCACCCAGGTTTGGGCTTGATTTTTTTTTTTTTTTGGAGACAGGGTCTCACTTTGTTGCCCAGGCTGGAGTGCAGTGGTGTGATCTCAGCTCACTGCAACCTCGACCTCCCAGGCTCAAGTGATCCTCCCACTTCAGCCTCCCGAGTAGCTGGGACTACAGGCACGTGCCACCACACCTAGCTAATTTTTGTATTTTTAATAGAGACAAGGTTTCTCCATGCTGCCCAGGCTGGTCTTGAACTCCTGGGCTCAAGCGATCCACCCACCTCGGCCTCCCAAAGTGCTAGGATTACAGGCATGAGCAGCTGAGCCCAACTGAGCTTGATTTTTAAAAAATAATTTAATTGAATTTAATTTAATGCTTTTTTTTGAGACGGAGTCTCGCTCTGTCACCCAGGTTGGAGTGCAGTGGCATGCTCTTGGCTCACTGCAAGCTCTGCCTCCCGGGTTCATGCCATTTTCTTGCCTCACTGCAAGCTCTGCCTCCCGGGTTCATGCCATTCTCTTGCCTCAGCCTCCTGAGTAGCTGGGACTACAGGCGTCCACCACCATGCCCAGCTAATTTTTTTGTATTTTTAGTAGAGACAGGGTTTCACCATGTGTTAGCCAGGATGGTCTTGATCTCCTGACCTTGTGATCCACCTGTCTCGGCCTCCCAAAGTGCTCGGATTACAGGCGTGAGCCACCGTGCCTGGCTCCTAATTTTATTCTTTACTGTAATTACATAGCAATGGGATGCGTGAATCTGTTGAGACACAACCTCTCAGATTGGACACCGCCACCCTCATTTTGGGTTCCATGTTGATTTTTATCACAACGGCCACCAAAAACCCACCTTCTCAAAGATATGGTATCACTGAAAAAAATGTATCAAGATCTAATATTAAAGCTGTGAACTGCCTTGAGCTAGTAGGGCCTGTGGTGTTCAATGGCTATTGAGTATTGCTGTGTTTGCCTGGAAAATTTAAAATATCCTAAGTACCTCTGTGTGTGCGCTGTAGTGCCCAGGGGCACCTTGGTACCCAGTTTGGAAACCATAGTGGTAGAAGGCCTGGTTCCAGTCCCTGTTTTTTGTTAGCTTGTTGACATATTTATTTATTTAGGAAACACTTTAATAGTACTGATTCTGTGCCAGGCCTTGTTCTGAGAGCTGTACAAGCATCAACTCATTTGATCATCATAACAACCTCCTGAGACAAGTACTATTCTGTGATGGTTAATTTCATGTGTCAACTTGGCAAGGCTATAGTGCCCAGTTGTTTGGTCAAGCACCAGTCTGGATGTTGCTGTGAAGCTATGTATTAAGACGTGATTAACATTTAAATCAGTGGACTTTGAGTAATGCAGATTGCTGTCCATAATGTGGATGGACCTCATCCAATCAGGTGAAGGCCTTAAGACTGGGGTTTCCTGAAGAAGAAATTCTCAAAACTACCACATAGAAATCCTGCCTGAGTTTTCAGCCTGCTGCCCTGCAGAATTCAGACTCGAGACTGCAACATCAACTCTTACCTGAAACTCCAACTTGCTAATCTGCCCTACAGGTTTCAGACTTGCCAACCCCCACAATTGCATAAGTTAATTCCTTAAAATCAATAAAATCTCTCTCTCTCTCTCTGTCTCTCTCTCTCTTCCCGTAGATATAGATATAGAAAGCTCCTGTTGGTTCTGTTTCTCTAAAGAACCCCTACCTGACTAATACATATTATTATCCTCATTTCCAGATAAAGACAATGTTCAACTCTAACTAGCAGTGTGGCCTTGGACAAGCCTTTTCTCTTTGGGCCTCTGTTTTACTGTGGCCAAATGTGGGCCTTAGGCAAGATGAATTCAAGGTTCCTTCCAGGGCTCACATCTGCTGCCTCAGCCCTGGAGCTCAGCTGATCTTTGGTGGGTCTCGGACCAAGACTACAATCTTGCCAAGGACACTGCAGTGGGCCTTGCATGTTGGCCACCTAGCAGCCATTCCTAGCCCATTTCTCCCTCGCTACCACTTACAAATTGGCCTAGATACTCTCGTTTCTAGCCACCCAAGTAGTTAGGGGAAGTTGTGTGAACTTCTTCTGGCTAATGATATATTAACTAATGATGCAAGTCTACTGGGGGTTTCTAGAAGAGATATTTTGTTTCTCAACAGAAAAGTTTAGAGAGAAGAATTCACTGGTTCTGATCTTTCCCCTTTCTTTGGAAGGCCATGAGGCTTAGACCTGCAGCAGTTGGCTTGTGACTATGGGGCACAAACCAGCTGCTTAGGATGGCGAAACAGAAACAAGCACAAAGGTCCTTGTTATATGCTTGAACTGCCAAACCAAGCCTAAGACCTGCTGCCTCTGGACTTCTTGGTATTCAGCATGCACAAATCCTTGTGGTTGAGCCACTATGGCTAAGTCAGTGCTACTTGTACTTGTTACTTGCAAGTAAGTCACAGTATTGTAAACTGATACCAGGCCCTTCATCTACTGCTAGAGACCAAGGCCCAGCTTGGTGAGTGATCTAGGGAAGGGTCCTGACTGGGGAATGTTGCTTTCGGCCTTAAGAGAACTGAATTTACTCATTTTGATTGAGTCATGACTTTGACCCCAAAGAGAGAGCCACTAATACTATGTTTTTCCAAATTCCTAATAGGTGGTGCCACATATTCTTGATCCGTAAGACAGATGCTCCACAGGCAGTTTCAGAACAGTGTGCTTATCAAATAGATGGCTTTGGAGCTCATAGAAAAGTATGTGGGTCACAACGGGCCTGCATTGCTCATCCCAGCCAAGCCTCACTTTCCTGTTTCATAAGATTGATGAGGGGAATGTCAGAGACTTCATATTCTTATATTTTGAAGTGTTTGATAAAATCTATCATAATGGACTTGGGGCCTCATACAGAAATGTGGGTTAAATAATAACAGTTTCAGTTCGCAGCTCTTTTTTTTTTTTTTTTTCCTTGAGAGAGAGTCTCACTCTGTTGCCCAGGCTGGAGTGCAGTGGTGCAATCTTGGCTCACTGCAAGCTCCGCCTCCCAGATTCACACCATTCTCCTGCCTCAGCCTCCTGAGTAGCTGGGACTACAGGCGCCGGCCACCACGCCTGGCTAATTTTTGTATTTTTGGTAGAGACGGGGTTTCTCCGTGTTAGCCAGGATGGTCTTGATCTCCTGACCTCGTATCTACCCGCCTCGGCCTCCCAAAGTGCTGGGATTACAGGCGTGAGCCACCGCGCCCGGCCTCAGTTCATAGCTCTTGATCTATCAAGTCCCAGTTTGTTTACCAAATGCTTTCATATTACTTGTTATGTGCTAAGCCTAAGAGCTTTACAAATATTAACTCATTTAATTGTCACATCCATCTTATGAGATAGGTGCTATTATTATTCTCACTAAAGAGGGCTGATCATTGGATTGATGTGAGCCTAGATGAAGTGTCTAGAGGCAAACCACAGGACTCTGCTCTTAACCCTGTCCTGTTCAACCCATTTTTAAAATCAAAGGCTTGGGGCTGGGTATAGTGGCTCACACCTGTAATCCCAGCACTTTGGGAGGCCGAGGCCGGTGGATCACCTGAGGTCAGGAGTTTGAGACCAACCTGGCCAATGTGGTGAAACCCCGACTGTACTAAAAATACAAAAATTAGCCGGGCATGGTGGTGCGTGCCTGTAATCCCAGCTTCTCTGGAGCTGAGGCAGGAGAATCGCTTGAACCCAGGAGGCAGAGGTTGCAGTGAGCCAAGATTGCTCCACTGCACTCCAGACTGGGTGACAGAGTGAGACTCTGTCTCAAAAATAAAATAAAATAAAATATATAAAATAAAAGACTTGGATAGGAAGCATCTGGCATTTTGACCACAATTTTAGGACTGCCAAAGCTGTCCTGTGTTAGATGATTCCAGTGGGCCGGAATGAGGCAGCTGAAACCATCAAGCTGAAATTGAATAGGGTTACATATAAAGCCATTCACCCTTGTTTTAAAAACCGTACTGTAAAAACACAGAAAAAGAGATGGTGGCTAACTGCAGCACACGGGAAGGAAGACATGGGTGTGTGTTAGTTGCCTGTGGGTTCAGGGAGTCAAAGCTGCAGTGCGGTCGCATCATATCAACTGGGATACTTGTTTCTGTGATGAAATGGGGTGCCCGGGGGTGGAGTGGGTAGACCCAGGCCCCAGTCTTTGCTGTTGACAGCACACATGAGATATTGGGTTCTAGTATCTGAACGACACTCCACAGAGAAAGACTAACACATTAGAGAATGGTCAGAAAGAATCGCCAGGATGGGACGGGCCTCAAAACCATGGGAACTACAATGGGCAGTGGTCGTTTTGACTCGAATTCCATTCCCCTTTGTTCTGGAAATAGCTGCATGATTTCCCTTAGGGGATCCACTCCAGCCCTCTTTCCGTGTCATATGAGTGTGGTCAACCCCAGGGGATGGACACATGATCCAGGCCTGGCTACTCAGAGAGTTGTGACTTCCTGGCCACAGGGATTGGTTCAGGGGTAGACACCTAACCTAAGGCAAGCCAAAGAGAGCCCTACCCATGGCTTCCGCTGGATTTACTGGGAAATAGGAGTTCTCTTCCTGCTGTGTTTGGTGAGCTGGCGGGATTTAGGCTGGGTCTCCCAGGGCTACCTACCACATTAGGAGTGTCTGCCTGAGAATAGGGTCAATGCAGAGGAGGGCAGGGGCCAAGAAAGGGGAGCAGTTTCTGGAAAAGTTGTTTACACCCTTGCAATGCCCCAGTCCCTAACTCTGGATTTTCCCAGTTTCATGAGCACTAAGTTCCCTTTTTAAGTTGGCTTTTGGCCCCTGTGACTCTGACTGGCACAGCAGCTGAGCCTGTCTGGACCGACAAAAGGGCTTCAAATTCTTAAAAGTAAAGTGACTTGCACAGGATGAGACTTGTCCTTGTGTATCCCCAGAGCCAGTGGGAACAGAGATGGAACCTCACAACTGGGCTCCAGAGAGGTGAGAAAGAGTTTTCTAAGAACAGGGCGCCAGCAGGTGCTGTGACACCCCATGTAGAGGTTATCATGAAGGTCGCTTGTGTGTATGGTAGAGAGTGGGACCCTGTGGTCCTTGAACTCTGAGATATGATGATTCAACTATAAGTTTGTAGCTGGGTGTGGTGGGGATCATGATTCCATAGACGGTTCTGGTGGGAAGAGACAGATCTAGAATCAGAATCTCTGGGTTCTATCCCTTTCTTTCACTAGCCAGCTCCATGGGCTGAAGCAAGCCAGTTAACCCTTCAGACTCACTCTCCATCTGCCCAGGTGCAGGGAGTGCTGTCTGCTGGGGGTTATTGTGAGGCTCAAAAGCAGTAAAAGCTATAAATGGTTTGAGGAAGTTAATGCATGGGGCAGACAGATGTAAGAGGCTGGTAAGAGGGGGTGAGGTGGAAAAGGAGATGCAAGAAGAATGAAGGGCTGAATGAGACCACCCAGAAGCCAGGCCTGGGCTGCAGGGGCTTCCTTGGGGTCATGTTTCTTGTGGAGAAGAGGTGGGTGATGTCAATGACTGGAGCTGGGAGGGAGGGTGAGATGGCAGGTGTCTCACGGAGTGTTGATAGCTTGGGGCACGGAGTGTTGATAGCTTGCCCTGTCTGAAGATCTGCTCATTCTAATCTGATAAAACCAATGCAGATCAAATATTGACAGACACCTGTGGGGCTATGTTTGGCTTATGGGCCCTGGTTTGCACCTCCTGAGTTAGACTCAGGGAGTAGGTAAAGAAGCACTTGGAAGCCTGCTGGTGTCTTGCAAACGAGTGTGTTTAAGGATAATCAACTCATGCCAACTCAAGGGTACACCCACAGAAGGGTGATATGACTACCCAGGCCAGGGTTCTAGGCCAACAGCATTCCATTCTTTGTCCTGCACCTTGGTGGAGACAGGTGTCTTCATCCTAATTAGTGAAGCTTAGAGAAAGGCCCCGATGAGTGCTACAGACAACATGTGACATCATCCTCATCAGTGCCCTCAGTCCAGCTGGCTTCTCAACATGTAGGAAGCATCACACCCATGCCTGATTCTCCTGCCCTGTCTCCTACTTGGAAGAAGTTCCTGATTGAGCTCTTCAGAGAATCCCATCCAAGGAGGGGCTAGGCCAGGGATTGCTTTGCCTAAGGCTGGTTCTCCTTCCTTCCCTCCCCTCCGTGATACAGTAAAGCCGCCTAAGAGCCAGCATCTGTGGTCCTGCTGCCCTTCCCCATTCCACCCTCCCCAGGGACATTGGAGTGGACGTGACATTGGAACTCCTGTAGAGGCTGCCGGCTTTGGCAAGGTTGATTGGGACCCACATGTCAGCCTGGGCCACTTCCTCATCACCGTAACTCTGCGCCAAATAACAAGACCACGGGAATCTGCTAGCGCAGGCCTGGGGAATGCTCTCCATTACTCTCTTTTATTCTCTCGGGAGATTTATGTGGCCTATCTCCCTTCCCTTTGTCCACCTGCAAGGCCCTATAAGTCATGTCTCGGGGCTGACAGGTCACAGGGCCTGTGCTGCTGCTCTGTCAGAGTGAGTGAAGCTGAGGGGTGATTAAAAGAGAGGAAGGGTGAGAGGTCAGCAGCAGACGGCATGATGGGAGTTTGGGATGTAATTATCACTCCTGTGACATACTGCGGGGCTGTTCTCCCCCTTCTTATAATAGATATACACACTTAGGTGCAGCTTAGAGAGAGGAGGAGGGTAGTGATGCCGAGAGGTGCAGAAGACCTGCTGGAATGGGCTTTGTGTACTGGGCCTCACAGGTGAAGTTAGAGCACCAAGGGACCCAGCAGCATCTGTGGCCTCACTGGAGAGCAGCACCCTCCATTCAATGAGATGTTCCCCAAAGCCCTCTGCACAAAGCCTGGGACACAGGAAGCACAGGTTACTGCTGTTACTGTTAAGTATCAATTAGATCTGAGGAAAACTATTGGGGAAGGCACAGATGGGGTAAGCTCAGGAGGTAGCTGGGTGGGGCGGATGGGTCACACCTCTCTGAATTTACACTCTCGTGTGGTTTCCTCCCACGGTGAATCGGAACTGACCTATGACTTGCAGCCAAAGTGAAGTTGTGCAAGGTCTGAAGGTTATGCCTAGTCTGAAGAAGCCTTACAACTTCTGCTTTCTTTCTTGGAGTTCTAAGTCTCCATATAAAGAGGTCTGGGTCATCCTACTAGAGAAGTCATATGGCGAGAAAAGACCTGGAGGATGAAAGACTGTGAGGAAAGAGGAGTCCCAGTGTTTCAGCCATCCCAAGGGAAGAGGGCAGGCATGAGAAGGAGACCACTGGGGATCTTCAAGCCCAAATCGTAAGCCACACACTAAGCCCAGTCAAGCCACATGGAGCAGAGATGAGCCATCCCAACTGAGCCCTGCCCTGCCCTGCCAACCCACAGAATCATATGTGATAAAATGGCGGTTGTTGTAAACCATGTGTTTTGGGATGGTTTGCTATGCAGTAATGGATTCTTCTTATCTGTGATCCCTAGACCCATTCCTCCCTCTGCTCTTTGCCTCCTGCTAGGGTCCAGGGGTAGGATCTCTTTCTGGAGTAGATGCACCTGTACCAAATAGAATTCCTGCCTAGGGGTGTACCAAGGATAGGTTGGGGGGTAATGCCCCACCCTGACTGCAGGCATTTAGAACTTA